>NC_000003.12:173554058-173705574 GCF_000001405.40 Homo sapiens
ATTCAATTGCTACCATATGGTGACACCAGCAAATAATTTTAATTTTTTAATATTTGAATCCACTTTATTTTTAAAATCTATGTGGGGAATTATAATTCTATAAAGCTTCCAGATAGTATAATTAATAAAGTACTAGCAGTTTCCAAAACTAAAAATTAAAGATGATTTAGAATTACTTTAGAAGAGAAACACACCTGTATGAAGTTTCTTCATGTCTTTCTGTATGTTTAGAAGCATGTTTATTTTCAGACTAAATCTACAGTGAAGGTTAAGTTACTATCATTTCTAGAATGCAGTGGTAAGAGAGAGAATCCAGTGTATGGTAATGAAAAATACCCACTGTAGAGTATTTCCATCATCCCCAAATGAAACATATCATCATCCCCCGAAGTTCCTCCCATTGTGCATTTTTTTCTCAGTCAGTTTGTAACACCTGCACAACCCAGAAAACTACTCTTCTGATTTTAATTAATTTTGCTTCTTCTAGAACTTCAGTAGAAATGAATTGTGTTTGACTTCTCTGGATTTGAAAGATTCACCCAGGTTGAGTTTATCACCAGTTTCTTCCTTTTTATTGATGAATAGTATTCCACAATTTATCAGTTCCCATGGTGATGGACATTTAGCTTATTATCAGTTTTTGGTTCCTTTGAAAAAAGCTGCTATGAATTTTTAATTTCTCTTCCATAACCATCTAGGAGTGGAATTTCTGGTTTTTAGGGTAGATGTGTAACTACAGAAATCTCTCAAACTGTTTTTCATAATAATTTTAGGTTCATTTATTATGAAGAAGTTATATATTCTCATAAGTACTGTATGTGTGAGAGCTCAAATTGCTCCATTATCTTGCCAATATTTGGTATTTTTTGGCTTTTTTGTTTTAGCCCTTCTAGGGGATGAGAAATTGTATCTCATTGTGGTTTTTAACTTGCATTACTCCAATGACTAAAGATGTTGAACACCATTCTGTGTGCTAATTGACCATGTATATGTCTTATTTAATGAGTTATCTTTTCAAATATTTGCCCATTTTTATTGAGCTGTTTAGCTATGTATTGTTGATTTCTTAATATATTATAGAAGTAAGTTTTTATCAGATGAAGGAAATTCATTATTGTTGGTTTGTGAAATATATCTTAAAATCATGAATGGGCATAACATTTTGGAAGTATTTTTTCCTCTATCAATTGAGATGGTTGTATGACTTCTGTCCTTTAACTGGTGAATTATATTGAATGATTTTTTAATGTTAAGCCTCCTTGGACTTACTGAATAAACTTTACCAATGGAATCTTTCTTATGTGGTTCCATCCATTTGCTAATATTTTAGTAAGGACTGATGTGTCTAATCTTAGGAGAATTATTAGTTCACATTTATCTATTTTTCTTACATGTTCCTTCTCAACCTTTTTTTATTTGTTTGCTTGTTTTCTGTTTTTGAGACTAGGTCTCACTCTGTCACCCAGCCTGAAGTGCAGTGGCATGATTACGGCTCGCTATGGCCTCAAAATCCCCGGGCTCAGGTATTCCTCCTACTCAGCCTCCCAAGTAGGTGGATGTGCACCACCACATCCAGCTAATTTTTATAAATATACATATTTTTTTGTAGAGATGGGATTTTGCCATGTTGCCTAGCCTGGTCTCAAATTCCTGGGCTCAAGCAATCATCCACCTTGGCCTCTCAAAGTGCTGGGATTACAGGCGTGAGCAAATGCTCCCAGCCCCTTGTCAAGTTTTGATATCAGGATTATACATAAAATGAATTGGGAAGCGTTCTATACTCTTATGTTATCTGAAAAAATGCTTTTAAAAGATTGACATTATTTATTCCTTGAATGTTTGAAAATTCAACAATAAAGCCTCTTGGCCTATTTCAGGAAGTTTGTTTTAGGAATATTTTTAATCATTAATTCAATTTTTAAAATAGAGATGAAGCTGTTCAGGTTTTTAATTTTCTCCATCGCTTTTGATAAGCTGTGTATTAACAGTTTGTCTGCTTCATCTAACTTGTGACCTTATTCACCTAACGTCCCTACTATTTACAAATTTTATTTCTATGATCTAAAAGATTTTTTGTTGATCTTTTCTTTTTCATTCATGACATGCCTAATCTGTGTTTTCTTATTTTCCTTCATCAGTCTTCCTAATGTTTTTTGATGCTATTGATCTTTACTTAAAAGAAACTTTTGGTTTTGTTGGGTTTTTAAAGATTAATTTCTGTGTACAAGCACACATTCCTTGGCTATATATGCTCTTCTTTTTCTAACTTATTGATTCTAGCTGTCAGTTTCTCTCTAAGCACTGCTTTAGCTGCAAATCACAAATTTCAATATTGTATGCTTTTATTATCATTTAGTTAAAATATTTTCTAAATTACCTTATAATTTCCTTCTTCTTTTTCTAATTTGTTTTTAGGAGGGTGTTCTTAATTTCTAAATATATGGATGTGTTTTTATTTAAAGACTTTTATTTTTGGCTGGGTACAGTGACTTATGCCTGTAATCACAGAATTTAGGGAGGCTGAAGCAGGAGGATCATTTGAGCCTATTCAAGACCAGCTTGGGCAATATAATGAGTCCCCTTCTTATAATTTAACAATTAGTCCAGCCTGGTGCACGTGCCTGTAGTCCTAGCTACTAGGGAGGCTGAGTAGGAGGATTGCTTAAGCCTAGGATGTCAAGGTTGCCTTGAGCTATGATTGCACCACTGCACTCCAGCCTGGGTGACAGAGCGAGGACCTGTCTCAAAAAAAGGAAAAATTGCTGTTGATTTCTAAGTTAATGCTATTGTGCCTGAGAAAATATTCTTTATTATTTTAATATTTAAAGTTATTGAAACTTATTTTTTGCCCCAGATTATGGTATATCTTGATAAATGTTCCATGTGCAGTTATAATTTTTTGTGACTATATGGATATATAAATATAAATATCCATTAGGTTGATATATTTATTCAGATTTTCTGTAGGCATACTGATTTTTTTTGTCTACTCATTCTATCAGTCACTGAGAAAGTAGTGATAAATTTTCCAACCATCATTCTGGATGCATTTACTTCTCCCTGAAATAAATTTTGATGCTTATTTATTAGGTATATACATATTCAGTTGTCATGTCTTCCTGATGAATGGACCTTTTTATAATTACGAAATGTTACTTTTATCTCTGATAAAACTCTGTCTTCAAGCCTGTTTTTCTACTATCATCATAGCCACACCAGATCTCTTGTAATTAGGGTTTGTATGGCACCTGTGTTTCTATTTATTTTTAACCCATTTCTGTCTTTATATTTGAAGTGTGTCTCTTATGCACAGCGTATGACTTATCTCATTTTTTTCTCATTTTCAAATCTTATCTTTAAATTATTTACTCCACTTACATTTAATATAATTATTTATAAGATTGTGTTGAAGTCTACTTTCTTTTATTGTTTTCTCTTTGCCCTATTTAACTTTCTTGATTCTGTTTTTCTGTGCTCTTTAAATAATTGAATGTATTTAAGCCTTCTGTTTTATATCTTCTATTAACTTTTTATCTGAATCCCTTTATTGGTGCTTGCTATTGAAATTACAGCATAAATTCTTAACTCATCACAGTCTACCTTGAATTAATATTTTACCACTTCACATATAATACCAGAACCCCTTTCCATATATTTTATGCTGTTGCTGTCATTTATTCCTATGTTAGTAACCCCATGATGCTTTGTTATTGCTTTTCTTTAAATATTCAATTGTCTATTAAACAAATTTTTAAAAAAGTATTTTATATTTACACATATAGTTACCATATTTTCTGTAGATTCAAATTTCTACCTGGCATCAGTTCCTCTTGAAGAGCTTCCTTTGGCATTTTTCTTGTAATTGACATTTGGTAGCATCAATTTTTTCACTTTTATTTATGTAAAAATGTCTTTAAAATTTATTTTTTGAAGTATTTTTGCTGTCTATACAATTTTGGATTAACAAATATTCTTTTTTCCCCTTTCTCCACCTTAAAGATACAGTTGCATTGTCTTCTTACTTGTATTATTTCTGATAGAATATCAGATGTTATCTTCTCCACCTTAAAGATACAGTTGCATTGTCTTCTTACTTGTATTATTTCTGATAGAATATCAGATGTTATTTTCTAATTATTATTTTCCTAATTGTAATATTATTTTTCACTGCTTGCTTTTTAAGATGTTCTATATACCATTGGTTTTCATCACTTTGAATATTGTATCCCTAAGTGTGATTTTCTTCCTGTTCATCCTACTGTGGTTTGTTGACTTTCTTATGTCTGTAAATGCACATTTTTCATCTGATTGGAAAACATCTGGTCACTATTTCCTCATTTGCCCCCCCAACCCCATCCTATATATCCTCTCCTCCTGTATTCCAAATACTTACATGCTAAAGTAGTTAATATCATGTCACAGGCACTAAACTCTTTCATTTTTTAGCAATGTTTTTTCTTTGCTTCAGTTTGAATAATTTTTATTGACCCGTCTTCAAGTTTACTCATTCTTCTACAGGACCTACCCCATTCAGTTCATCTAGTGAATTATTTTTGATGGCTTTTTAGAGTTTCTATTTCTCTTTTGAAACAGAAAATCTCTTCATTCATTATATCCATTTCCCCTCGACCTTTTAAAATCATAGTTATAATGGTTATTTTGAAGTCTATGTCTGTTCTGTTACCTGGGCCATTTGTGGGTCTGCTTTAATTCACTGCACTTTTAACTTGGATATGGTCACATTTTCTTGCTTCTTCATATATCTCATAATTTTCTTTTGTATCCTGAGTATTATGTCTAATAGAAAAGTGAATATTGTAGTAAAGGCTTTGTTTGATTTTTGTTGTTGTTGTTTATCCAAGTAGGTAAGCTCTTTTCTCTTCCTGGTGGTTAAGATGTAGGAATCCTCGGTCAGAATTTTTTTGGTTGAATAGATCTGATATGGCACTCATATTTAATTAATTGAATTCATCTATGAATAGATGTACTAGCTACCATCAGTATTGCCTCTACCTTTTTGATCTTAGTTTGGACTTTGGAAGTCATTGGGCTGAAGTTTCAGATATTTGGTTTATCTTTGGATTCATTTCTAGTAAAGCCTTAAAATCAAAGGTGCTTGGAATACACTGTGATTTCTCTCAATTTTCGGCCCCTTTTCCACTACTGGTTTCTTGGCAAAATTCAATAGGCGAGAATTGATGGCCCAAACATTTGTTTTAGCATATGAGTCTCTTTCTGATCTACATACAGTCTACCTACTCTGCGCTGTCTAAGGCATGGCCTATTTATCCTTATCCCTGAAAAGTCTCCCTGTCTGTGGCAGACCCTTTCTTGTGTCTGCCTATACATAGACTAAGGACTTGACCCAATGAATACAAGATGCTATACTCATGGCTCACCTATTGAATGCTTGCCCTTGTCTGGACTTTGATTCATTAAGGCTTTCTAGCACCCACCATGCTTCACTAACCACACAGAATATTAGAATTTTTAAATTTGTCTAGGATTTTTTTATTCACATCATGACAGTGAAGGTGTTTTGACTTCCCCTATATCCTATCCAGAAGTAGAAAGCCCACCAGCAAGTAAATACTTTAAATCAAATCTCAATTTTTAAGGCATGTATAAATAGAAGTCGAGATATAACGAAAGAGAATTAGAGATGTAAAGAAAAGTGTTATCTTAATATATGTTTTATTTTCTATGAATGCTAGAAGGTTTTTGATATTTTTATGGCTAGTAAAATGAAATATATATAAGTAGATTTTAAAATTGCATATAAACGATTTTCTGTCATGAAGAGAATACTTCTAATTATTAATGAAAAACACTAATGTAGATTATCATTTGACTTCAGTGATAATGTTACTTTGTCTAGATACACTTTTTTTTTTTTTTTTTTTTGAGACGAGTCTCGCTCTGTCGCCCAGGCTGGAATGCAGTGGCACGATCTCAGCTCACTGCCAGCTCCGCCTTCCGGGTTCACGCCATTCTCCTGCCTCAGCCTCCCTAATAGCTGGGACTACAGGCGCCTGCCACCACGCCTGGCTAATTTTTTGTATTTTTAGTAGAGACGGGGTTTCACCGCGGTCTCGATCTCCTGACCTCGTGATCCGCCCGCCTCGGCCTCCCAAAGTGCTGGGATTACTACAAGCGTGAGCCACCGCGCCCAGCCTAGATACACTTTTTAATAAATCTGAGCATTATGAATTTTTTCCTAAGCCATGGAAATATGGAATGGCAAGGAAACTGAGTAAAAATAGGAAAGAAAGAAAGAGAGAAAGAAAAGAAGCAAGGAAGAAAAGGAAGGAAGGAAGAAAGAGAAGGAAATGAAAAAGGGAAGAAGAGGAAGGGAGGGAGGGAAAAGGCAGAAGAAAACAAGGGAAGAGAAGAGAAAGGGGAGGACTAATTTCTTATTTACTCCGGTAAATTTACTCCTGTAGATTTAAAGCAATCAACAGAATGATTTTTTTTTTTTATTATTCTAGCTTCAAATACCCGTCTATTTTAGGTTAGCACCAGTTTTACTACAGGTCGTTTAGTTTTGGACTAGATTCTTGGGTATATTCTAGCATGTTCAAATTTCAGAGGTTTGTAAAATTTGCAGAAAGTTTTAGTTAGTTCCGTTTACCCCAAGATAACAAGACAAAAATTAGAAATAAATAAATGACTCAAGATTAAGTAAAAATCTATGAAAGCACCTTAAAAACAACATTTATATTTATTTTTCACATCTGGAAAACCCTTTTTGAGATAGTTCAGTACTAGAGAAGTTCTTCGGAATTTGCAAGGTATCAACATATCTATATCTTTCTTTCTCTACACCCTATAAATAATATTCATTGATAATAGCTATGAAATGCTTTGAAGAACAGAAGATCATATATTACTATGTTTAACTGAAAATAAATATATTAAAGATATATAGCAATCTATCAACTATCATCATACAGCGGGGTTTGTATTGTTTGTTTGTTTCTTAGTCTTATATTAAAGAGGAGCCTAGATTGTTCCTAATCTAGTCCACAACACCCCAGAACTAACAAGTAATTTCTTCTGGGCATAAGATTTCTGACACTGCAAAATGTCTATCATTACTTGGCAGGAACTTCCGGTAGCCTTCCAGACTTTCAGTTTAGGAATGACTGCTCTCTAGAAAGGCTGACATTTGATCTGTTTTAGCAAGAAAACTATCAGATAACTTGTGTCTGAGGAAGCGTTGCCTTTACTTCCAAAGCCTCTTGTCTCTGGTACAACACGCCTTGGTTCCATATGTGGTTGTGATGTTGACTTCTAGCGTCTGCCTCCTCCCTTCAACATCTTTCTGCCTTTTGTTTCCAAATCTCGTAGCTTCCTAAATCCTAGTACAAAATCCCATCCCGAAGCCTTATTATCTTCAGGCAGAGATGAAGTGGAGGTCATGATGGCTGTAGATATATCTCTCACAACAAGATCCCCTGAGAAACATAAGCAGCACAAAGACTTTCCCTTTCAATTTAGAAAACATAATGGCAAAAATTAAATATATGTGGTAATAATATAGAATTAATTAAAATTAGAGACCAAATACTATAATAAATATTAGTTAAAGACTTTTCTGTGCAAAAGAAGTGAGGCATTGCTCCAAATAAATATTTATTACCTTACTAATCAACAGATTCATTGAATTTTTAAATAATTTATTGAGTCCATATACCATATCAAGCATTAAATTTGATACTGTGAAGAATACAGAGATTATTTAAGACATTATCCCTGTCTGTAATGAATTTAACCATCCAATGGGAGAGAGAAAACGTGCACATTAACAGGTATAGTACAAGGTATAATCTGCTGAAGGCTCGAAAACATTGCAGAAAAATGCTCTAGTGGTTTTTTTGTTTAATGGTGTGACAATTAAACAAAATAAAGCATTGGAGAAATAGGGCTATAGATGATCAGCACAGTTAAGGTTTTTGTTTTTGTTTTCGTTTGTTTGTTTTTTTAGATGGTGGGGAAGCATGAAGACATTTTAGACAGCAAGAATAACGTGAGCCAAAAAATAAAGGAGAGCCATTGAAAGGCATGTTCAAGGAATGAAAGGCAGCACGTTTGACCAGATGCCAGGGAATGTAGAAGAGAGTAGCTTGAGCTAATCCTAGAAATTGCATATGTGTGTGCATGCATGTGTGTCTTGGCCATGAGGAATGCTGCAAGTGAACTTAATTCAACTAATAAAGACAATAGTAGACTGGGTGCTGTGGCTCACGCCTGTAATCCTAGCACTTTGGGAGGCCAAGGTGAGCGGATCATGAGATCAGGAGATCGAGACTATCTTGGCCAACATGGTGAAACCTCTTCTCTATTAAAATATAAAAAATTGACTGGGTATGGTGGTGCGCACCTGTAGTCCCAGCTACTTGGGAGGCTGAGGCAGGGGAATCGCTTGAACCCAGGAGGCAGAGGTTGCAGTGAGCCGAGATCTCGCCACTGCACTCCAGCCTGGTGACAGAGCAAGATTGTCTAAAAAAAAAAAAAGACAATAAGTAACTTTAATTTATGTAAGACTTTGAAGTTTACAAAGTACGTTTATATGTCACCTTGCTCATCTTATCAACAGAGATCTCCACTGATAATTCCATAGTCTTCTTGGTTGGATATTCCTCATCTCGACATTTAAGATACAACATTCAACTGATCTGAAGTTCAATTACTGGGTCTCATCTTATCTGTTTATACTCACTCCTTTGGTTTTCTTCATGCAGCCTCCCAGTGAGCCACAGTTTTTCAAAGTCATGTCTGTATTCCAGAAAGCTCTTTCAAAAATCAGATTTGTAGCTAAGGACACAATAACTTTCTTTTGGCTATCTCCACCAAGATGTCTAATAAGATTGACCTACCATGTCCAAGGCTGAACTATTTATCTCACCAAAACTCCCCTACCCACACACATACACACAAAAACCATTCCACCTGCAGCCTTCTCCACCTGAGATGATAGGGATTCCACTGTTTGAATTAGTCAGGCTTGTGCTATAAAATGTTGCAGTGTCCAGCAAATCAAGGTGGTTAATAATCATTCACTGAATGAAATAATACATTTTTCTTATGAATTCCTGTTAGCTTACTGATCTGGGGCATCTGAGGACATGAGCTGGCCTGTAGCTTTACAGCCATCGAATATTGAATAAAGAGAACACAGTGTGCTTGCTCATAGTATTTTTACATAAAAATTTACGAACATAAGAACATTGATAATGTGCATGCACTTGCTAGTTAATAAACATCAGCTGGGCCTTTGAGAGATGCCCCATCCTCACCTGAGAAAATCGGAACAAACCAATATATCTGTTGAAAAAATCTAAAGGAAATAACGTATAGGTAAATCTGCCCTGAAAGCCAAGGAATGATTTAAGTTTATCTTCCATAAAGAGAAGTAGTAAAGTTAAATTTAATGCTGAAAATGTAAGAAAGCAACAACTTTATCTAATTGCAGACCCGCCAGCATTACCAGGACTCCTGATTCTCTTTGATACGCTTGTATCTGTTGTCTCTCATGCAGACTTACATTTTACTGACATCTTTAAAAATGTGATAATATTCTGCAACAAAGCCACAGACCTTAGAGTCATTCTTGGGTCATCTTTTTTTTTCTCATACCCTTGTATATTATAAATCTTTTGGGATTTACCTTTAAATACATAAGAATTCCATCCTTTCCTCACCGCCTCTATTACATCCACCCCAGTTAAAGCCGTCGGCATCTTCCATTTGGATTTCTGCAACAGGCTTCTTGCTCGTCTTCCTGTTTCCATCTTTGTCCCTCTACAACCAGTTTCTACACAGTAGCCAAATTGAATTTTTACAAAATAAAATGTATTCCTCTACTCCTTCCACTCTTCTGCTCAGATTCCTGCAAGGGGTTCCAGTTTCTCTCTGGATAATAGCCAAAATCCCTACAAAGGCAAACAAGGCCTGACCTGATCTGGCCCTTACTACCTGTCAGTGCCGTCTCTTGTCTTGCTTCCCTCCTTTCCCTGCTCTAGCCACACTGGTTTCTTTGTTGCTCTGTGAACATACCAGTTGCAGTCCTGCCATAGGGCCTCTGCACTCACTGTTCCATATTCCTGAAATGTTTTTCTACTCAAAAGAAGTTAGCTTTCTCATCACACCTTCCACGTGTTGTAGGCACAGGTTTCCGTTAAATGCTTCCGTATTTTCCTCTATGCTCTTTATAGATCTGAATGAAGGGAAAATACAAAAATAAAGGATCAGTAACAAAGAATACAGATTTTGATTTATCCACCTTAGGAAGACATTAAGTAAAACCATCCTACTGAGAAATGAATATTTAAGTAGATCAGAGTTTGTTACTAACTGTGTAAAACATTATGAGTCCTCAGTAATATTTCCAGTTCTCTTCATGGATTACACTGCCATGTGCTCTTGAAGTTTGAGTGCTACCATATAACTTGCCTTGACCATATGAGACAATGTTAAGTGATCTTCTGACTGAGCATGTAAGATCCAGTGTAGAATCTTCCATACTCTTTTCACCTTCATCAACTCTGAGCTCCTGAGGAGATAGCAGCCTCAGAAGATGGTGTAACTTTCATTACTGTGAACCCTTGAGTTACTGTGAGAACCAAGAACCCCACTGAATCATGTTGGACATGTTGCAAACACAAGAAGTCAATCATTGTTGCTGCAAACAACAGGAATTTTAAAGTTGTTATTATAGCCTAACTGAACTTGTTTTAAATTATATCCTCTTCAATTATTGCCTTATGTTGTACCTGGGTTATCTCCTGTGAAGAGATCAGCAAGCTAATAGGAATTCATAAGGAAAATGTATTATTTCATTCAGTGAATGATTATTAACCACCTCTATTTGCTGGACACTGAGAATATAGTGATAAGCAAAACTCCTATCTTCTGGGAGCTTATACTCTAGAAGTTGAGGTTCTGTTGAGCGGAGGGAATGATGAGGCTACATCCTGCCAAAAGGGAAACTCTGCCCAGGATGATAAGGATGAGAGACACAAGGAGTACGGGGCAAAGTTAGAGAAGATGTCAGTCTGGGTATGTGCAGTATAAGGTTGGGAAGAAGCAGAGGAACATCAGAAGTCAGTTCTAGGAAATAGGCCTTATGAGAAGGACAGCCAGGTGAAAATACAAGACAGTAGTCAGTTCCAGGCACCTTGAATAGACCAAATATAGTGAAATAGGCTGCCTTACAGATGGAGAATGAAGTGACTGTGAAGGCTAAAGCAGATGTTTTGCAGTGAAGCAGCATGGGATTGAGAAGAGGGAGATTGCCTGGAAGTAGAACAGAAGTGACCGGGATTTGGAAGTTGAGCAGCAAAATATTTTCCACATCTTACTAAATCCCAAGACCTATGCTGTTGAATTCCTATTTGGTCTACTCCACTGTAGCCAGGAAAAGAGCTAGAGTGCATTCAGAAAGCTATATATCTACTTCTAATAATTATGATGGGCATAGGGGAGGGTAGGAATTAAAAGATAGCATAAGAACACTGGCACTTCCCCAGAGATGTAGGTTTATTACATTGCACAGGAAAATAGAGGAAAACTACAAGGTAACTCTCACCACAGAGAAAAAAGCAGCAGCTCCAGACATGCGTCTTCAAATTCCTAGTTATATGTATTACCACATAAAGGTAAACCAATTTATACTACCCCCAAATGCTTTGAAAGACAGAAATATTCTGAGACCTGACAATTTTTATTTGAGCACAATTAATTGCAAGGAAGATGAAGCAGATATTAGAATGAAAATTTTATTAAGGCCATAGATGTATGTATTGAAGAGCATTTCTTTTGTGTGAAAGTAAACAATACCAATTAAAGCTGTTTAGGTATATGAAAATTCAGAGGATTGAACCAATTTTCCATTAATTGTAAATAGAGATTTAATCTCTCACTATGTTCATCCTCTTGAAACTCAAAGTAAGTAAAATTATTTGTAGAGAAAGAAGGGATGAGCATACTGGGATTAGATAAAGACCGGCCTATACGGAGTGAGGTATTGTGAGGAGACGTAAGCCTGTAATTTTTATACAGCAGTACGTTATTATTTCAAATTAACCTAAAAAAGAGCTTGAAAATATTCATGACTGTATCTGGTTAGTAAATGGGTTAACCGATCTGTACATTTCATGCATCATGGTTTCAGTAGGAAATATAGCTTCAGGATGGAGATTGAAGCTACAGACCTGAGCTGCTTCTCTAGGTTTTAATCGTTAGGCATTGTTCTTGACCTTCCTTAACCTCAACTTCAACAGCATTCAGACAAATTGGTTAATTGTATGGGCTAGTAGGTCACCCAAATATGTGTAATTGGACAAATCTTATGCAAATTAAGACAATGATTTGGGAATTAAATAATGCTTGCAAAATTTGATTATTTAGTAATACCCATTAATAAAATTCTGTCAAATTAATAAATTTGGAAAAAAAATATTTCCTTTCTGAAATATTCTCGCTCTCTGCCCCATCTTATTTCATTAAGGCTTACTTATCCTCCATACTTAGTCTTTCTCAAGTACTTTTCCAGACTCCCTCTCTACCCTCTACCCTCACCCTGCAAACAATTAAATGTTTCCTTAACTATCTGCTATTAATCCTTGCTTCAGCACTTATCATGTTGACTCATACATATTTATTTTTGTGTACATCTTCACTCTTAAGACTGAAAATCCTTTAAAAATGCCCTGTATATTGGACACTTCTTTATCTCTAGCATTTGGTAGACTACCTTTACATAGTATGTCTTCAAATTTGTATTGAGTAAAAAAGAGTAAAGAAAATGTAAATAAATGAAATTTTCCTCTATTTTGAAAACTTTAGAAAGGGAGATTTATCCTCTATCAGTTCAGTGTATAATGAAGTATTCTGTTATCAAATGGTACCATGAGATGCCACTAATGTCGAGTAAACAATTGGAAATGGATCTCATGCTGTGCCCTTGTGGGACCTCATTTTCCTCTTTAGCCTTAGTTATTAAAAAAGAATAGTGCCTATTCTTCTTAAAATACCTATTCCTCTTATTGACTTTAACCTTGGTAGTTAAGAGAATTGAATTATTTTATGTGTGTGTGTATAAATTCTGAGAACTGTAAAACACATACATGTAAGTTTCTATTACTGCATTAACATGGTCACCTTCTAAAAAATAAGATAAATTAGAGAGGGCAGATTCACCAAGTTCAAGAACCCTCATTTGAAGTTAGGATTGAATGTATGACTAATACATACATTTAATTGGAAATAGTTAATAATACTCTTAACCCATATAAAGTTGAGATATTGATGGAAAAAATGAAATATTTTGTAGTTTTTTAGTTTTTAAAAGTCTGTTATACTAGCTTTATTAGATAAATAGAAATAAGGAATATATACACTCATTCAAAAAATAACGTTTAATTTTTATGTGCTTCAAATTTCTGGAATTCAAATGCATATATTTTTATATAATTGAAATTATAGCACAAATTTAATTTTGAATACTTTCTTCACTTAAATCGTATGCTGAACATTTTACTGTATTTTTATATAATATAATAAAATAATATTTATCAAGTGTATTAGCATATTTTACCTAAATATTTCACTATTTCTGGGTATTTTAATTATTCCTAATTTTGCTGCTATAAATTATTGTGAGGAGCATATTTCCACATACAGGTTTTCCTTCTCTGGGATTATTCTTTTGGATTGAATTTCTAGAGGAAGGATAATTAAAGTATTGGACTTGATTTACCTCTAGCAAACCCCTGTAGAGGAAAGGGAAAATATTTACCCTCTTAGTAAAGAAATCTCTTATTGAACATCAAGACTCTGAAGATAAATTAAACTATTAACAGTAATTTGAATAAATGAATAATGAAAAATATTTTTATTCATTTTTTATTTGACAAATAAAAATGTATATATTTATGGTGTTACACATGATGTTTTGAAATATGTATACATTGTGCAATGACTAAATCAAGCTAACATATACATTACCTCAAAAAATAATGATTTATCTTTAGTGACAACACTTAAAATCTACTCTTGTACAATAGATTTCCTTCCTTCCTTCCTTCCTTCCTTTCCTTCTTTCTTTCTTTTCTTTCTTTTCTTCCCTTTTCTTTTCTTTCCTTTCCTTTCCTTTTCCTTTCCTTTCCTTTTCCTTTTCCTTTTCCTTTTCTTTTTTTTCTTGACGGAGTCTTACTCTGTTGCCCAGGCTGGCAATTTCTTGGCTTACTGCAACTTTCGCCTCCTGGGCTCTGGCAATTCTCCTGTCTCAGCCTCCCGAGTAGTTGGGATTACAGGTGCCCCCCACCAGGCCTGGCTAATTTTTGTATTTTTAGTAAAGATGGAGTTTTGCCATGTTGGCCAGGCTGCCCTCGAACTCCTGACCTCAAAGTGAACCACCCGCCTCGGCCTCCCAAATTGTTGGGATTACAGGCACAAGCCACTGTGCCCGGCCTCAATAGATTTCTTAAACTTATTCCTCCTAATTGAAATTTTACATTCCTTGAGCAACAGTGAACAAAAGTATTTAAGAAACAAAAACAAAACAAATTAGGAAAATCAAGTTAGCTTCAGGAGGGAAAGGAGTGTCTAGGACTTTTTTGTTTGTTTGTTTGAGATGGAATCTCGCTCTGTTGCCCAGGCTGGAGTGCATTGGCACTATCGGCTCGCTGCAAGCTCCGCCTCCTGGGTTCACCCCATTCTCCGGCCTCAGCCTCTGGAGTAGCTCGGACTACAGACGCCTGCCACCATGCCCAGCTAATTTTTTTTTCTTGTATTTTTAGTAGAGACGGGGTTTCACCTGTTAGCCAGGGTGGTCTCGAACTCCTGACCTTGTGATCCACCGGGCTCGGCCTCCCAAAGTGCTGGGATATAGGCGTGAATCACCGCGCCTGGCCTAGGACTTCTTTCTTCAACACTCTGTGTTTGTTTTCTCAGAGCTTTTCCCCAAGGAAAAAAAATGCTGTAGCACAAGGGAAATGCATGGTTCTTAAAAAGTGCAGTAAAATTACTCTTCAAAAGGATTTTACACTAATAATGTGTTAGTTTATCCTATCAGTTCTAGGAGAACATTAGGCACAATTTGAAAATGTGTTTTATTAGACATAATTTTAATAAAATTATTATATTTAGTTTTTCTTGAAACCAGCAGAAGTAAAATAAAACAACACGGATACCTGGGATTGTGAGCTTTAGTTTATTTACTTATTACTTCAAAATCTATTATAATACTAGCTCTTTTTAAGTGAGAGATTTTTCCTTCATCTGTCGGTTTATGAATTAATCGGCAGTCACATGCATTTTGTTACTCAGGGCTTTTATTAATTTTTTTAAAATTTTAACATTCAAGTTCTATCAAAAATCTTTACTATATTATAGACATATTTTCGGAGAAGGCTATTTTTATTTTCTTAAAACAGTAGTCCCTCAAATCTCCTTAAGAGTAATAGGTTAAATTTTAATTTTTTTTTCTTTTTTCTGAAAATATCTGTTTTCTCATCATGGTTTCTTTTTTTTTTTTCTATTTATTTGTTTTTCCTTTTTAATGCTATTTGTTTTTCAGATGCTTGCTGTTTCTTTTTTTCTGTTCAAATTTATGAATAAAAGATTAGGGTGCTTAATGTAGGTATCTAGCAAGACATCTCTGTCATGGTCCTAGAAGTTTTAAGAGCTGTGAATTGGGAGCTGCTGGGGTCCATGACTGTCATTTTCTGGCAATATGATATAGCATAGGCAGTAAGTTCAACTGAGGCCCATTTCTTTGGAATGTATTCTACACTACCACACATTCATGCTTTCTCTAAGAAATTACTTAGCAGATAGCATTCATTCATTCATGCATTTCTTCTTCTACAAATTCTGATTATGATACTCAATAGATTCAAAATGCTGGGGAACAAAGGTAGGAATGTAGATAAAACTCTGTCTCCCAAAGAACAATTAATATAAGCAAATATGATAAAAGATAAGGATAAGCATAGTTTGAGTAGGCTTAACCCCAACCTATCTTGGGAGTGGGGGCCAGAAGGGGTCAAGAGTGGCAGTGAGGGGTGAGGTAGGATAGATTGTATCTCTGAAGGGTTAATAGAGGCAGTGCTGACTAAAGTAAGAATTGATGGATCTATAGAAATTAGAAAGGTGGATTGATTAGGAAAGGGCATCCAAAAGGAAAGCCTTTCAAACAGGGAGAAAACCATGTGCAAAGGTGAAATGTTTCAGAAAGAGCAAGGTGGATTTGAAAAGCCACAAGTAGCGCAGCATGCTTAGAGAGGCAGTGTGTGGAAAGAGAGATTGCTGGGCAGGAAGGGAAGTGGCCAGCTTGGAGGTGGTAGCTGAAGCTATTCACAACCATGTGATCTGGGAGACACTATAACATGGCATTTCATTAGGAATCCAGAGACCTGAAATCTTTAACTGGGTGAGCTTAACCAAATAATTTTAATTTCTGAGGCCTCTGCTTCCTTCTTTGTAAAAGGAGCATGTGATTTTTAGCGCTCCAGGAAGCCCTCCCCCCAATGGGTGCTGGTGGGGATGGGAACTTGGTGGCCAGAGCTCTTTGTCCCCTGCCTCTTTCACTTATACTATGTCAGTTTTGTTTTCGCCTGAATTATTTGTTTACAAATTAAAGTGAATTTATTTATTTAAGAGAGAGTCTCACTCTGTCACCCCAGCTGGAGTGCAGTGGCGTGATCTTGGCTTACTGCAGCCTCCACCTCCCAGGTTCAAGCGATTCTTGTAACTCGGCCTCCTGAGTAGCTGGGATTACAGGTGTATGCCACCAAGCTCAGCTATTTTTTTGTATTTTAGTAGAGATGGGGTTTCACCAGGTTGGTCAGGCTGGTCTCGAACTGCTGACCTCGTGATCCACCCGTCTCGGCCTCTCAAAGTGCTGGGATTACAGGCCTGAGCCACCATGCCCAGCCTATTAATTTATTATTTTTGGAAAACTGGCCTCCACAAAAAATATGTTGAAAGCCACAAGACTAAGTTATCTGAGGTCTTTCTGTACCCCACACCACTTAAGGAAAAATAGCAGTGTTTACTATTAGAAAGAGCAGTAGACCTGGAGTTCAAAGGTTGGATTTTTATGGTTGGCAGACCTCTGTGTGGCCATAGGGAGCCAATTTTTCTTAGCTGATTGTTTTAATTATAAAAGAGGAACAAATATTATCTGCCCTTCTTGTCTTGATTTTTTTCCAAAACTGAAATAAAATCAGATATGTTGAAGTGCTTAGTGAATAGTGAGGTATTTTTTAAATGACTGTTATTCTTAAGGAAAATATTACCTACGCTGAAAGCTGTCTCTAGGTGTGAGTATCTAATATATAAAAGATGCCCTTGGCATGATGAATCTGGTTATTTAATGGAGGTGTCACACTTTTTATGTTGCATTTTTCTTGGCTCAAGTTCCCATACCTAAAAGTGAGATAAAAATCTCTGTACTGGACAATTTTATCCATAGTTTTCTAGATTTATCAGAATGAATTTTATTAAAAGAAAAATAAATATTAATGGTCATTTTAAACTTCATTGGAAAGTGATGGTAACCTTATATCCCAGGATGCTTCCTTGAGTTATTCACTGTGCTTAAGAGCATGCATTAGGCTGGAATATTATGAATCTTCTTTTCATAGTAGTTTCATAACAAAGCTCAGGCGAAGTAGGTTTAGATGTTTGTTTTTTGTTGTTGTTGTTGGTGGTGATCTTTTAATGGAGCATTTCAAATCCAAGAGCCCTTTCTCCTATTAATAATACTGCCCATTCTCAAAAGCAAAACTTAGGTATGTGTTAGGTTAAAAGATCTTCCTTTATGCAATGTGAACAGGGTAAAAAATTAAGGTTGAAGGAAATAGATAACTCTGTCTTTCTACAAATATTACAGCCACTTCCACATTGCAGATGAGGAAAAAGAATAATTTTTCCCTCTAAGAAGTTATTACTCAGAGGGATAATATAGTTAAATATCACTCACGTTTTTCTGAATGCAAATCCTGTGCACATCTCCACATGCTATCAGGATCCAATTTAAGGAGGACTTTGTTACCATTCTACAGAGTCTAAAACATGTCTGGATCCCTGTTCTTAACCCAGGCTGCATGTAGTGATAATTTGAAAGTGTGACCTAGCCCCAGCTCCAGAGATTCTGATTTAATTGGTCTTGAAGGAGGGGACCAAATATTGGTATTTTTACTCCCCTCCCAAGGGATCCAAGGGATTCTAATGTGCAACCATAGGGAGAACCACTAATTCTGGTAAAAATTAAGCAGATAAATGATTTGTTCAGATTTGTAGTATAAAAAACATTATTTTGGTGTCAGTGTGAAAAATAGATTGGATGAAAGTTAGATGAGGAGGGCAGAGGCCAGTGAGGCTGGCACAGCCATGCAGCCATGAACCAATCTGAGTCCATGCCAAGAATTTCCAATATTGCTTGCAATTTCTGGATGAAGAATCTTGTTGTTACCAAATCCTCTGTGATCTATTTCCCTGACCTTAGTTGACCCTTCTGCTTTCATATTTACTGGTCATTCTCTCCTGGTGCTTCTAGTTACACCTTTCTCTGGTTGTCATAGTTATGATTTCGAGCCAGTGCCCTTTCCCAGATAAAGAGGGAAACCAAATATGTTGCTGTGAATGCAGAATTTTGAATAGGGCATCCTGGGTATTTTCTCTCATCTGATCAGTCCTTTCAGGAGGATTTTGCTTACACTTCCCAATTTGCAGTCTCACCAGAGCCCTCCTCTTGTCTTCCTTTGCCTTAATACATAGTTCAGCTTCACCCAGGGAGGAATCACTGTATCTCACTACAAGGAGACACCTTCATCCTCTGAGTAATAACTTCTCCTGCCCTGTGTGAGGCAGGAGAACTAAAGCTACCCCAAGTCCCGGTGTTATTTCTGCCTCACAAGAAGTGCTGGGAGCATCCCATCACTACAAGGTGATGCTCTCTTTTTTAGAAGAACCCCTCAACTGTCCATTCCATTTGTATTACTTCCGAACCCTGAAACTATTTCCTCAGTACCTGTTCTCTTCAGCTCTGAGTTACCACCCTTCACAATGAACAGGAAGTACAGGAGGCTTGGATTTAAACTTGGATGTAATCTCAGTTTAATCCGTTGCTAGCAGCAGCAAGTCACTTAGTGTTAGTGGGTTTCAGTTTTCTGACTTGTAAAAGTAGGAAAAATTATATGTACCCTCCAAACTGGAAAAAAACCTGTAAGCTTAAGAACTGAGTACAATATTGGTACAGAGGATGCATTCAACAAATGAGAGTTGATATTATTTTTGCTGTTATGATTATTAAGTGTGCATGCCTTCAAGTCAGCTGAGAGAGCAAATACATAGTTAAAAATGTTAGTCTTTGTAATGGCTAAATGGGGATACATGTATCTTCATATGTATATTATATATATTAATTATATACATTTAATTCAGTATATTTAATATATAATCATTTATAATATAATTATGTATATTGTATGTATGTTGAAACAAGGGAAATAGAGTAGGGGAGAGGAAAATGGATAATGAGTATAGGAAGAAGACAGGCTTTCCTGAGATCTTATTATTTTTATGCTATTATTATTATTATTTTTTCTGTTATATTTGTTTCCTGGTCTAGTTCTTAGTGAATATGGGAAGAGGAAGGATAGAGAAAAAAATTTTGATTGTGTCAGGATTAAGAGTCAAAAAAAGATGAAAAGGCCGGGCGCGGTGGCTCACGCCTGTAATCCCAGCACTTAAGGAGACTGAGGTGGTCGGATCACAAGGTCAGGAGATCAAGACCATCCTGGCTAACACGCTGAAACCCCGTCTCTACTAAAAATACAAAAAATTAGCCGGGCGTGGTAGCGGGCGCCTGTAGTCCCAGCTACTCAGGAAGCTGAGGCAGGAGAATGGCGTGAACCCAGGAGGCGGAGCTTGCAGTGAGCCGAGATGGCATCACTGCACTCCAGCCTGAGCAATAGAGCGAGACTCCACCTCAAAAAAAAAAAAAAAAAAAAAGAAAAAGAAAAAAGAAAAAACATTGCCATTATATCATGAAAGTTCATTTAAAATATATGCAGTCATAATTAGTTTTGATGCTAAATTGCAGTTTAATTACCGATTTGTTTTAAATTTAGATTAATTTTGAAGTTTTTATTAAATGTGCTCTTTTTATAAGGTAAAGTTCTTTTTAAGTCAATTGAATGCTGTCAATAGAAATACCTTTTGATAACTAAAGTATAGTTGATTAATTAAATAGAAATATTTGTGTAGCAGGGAGTAACCCAAATATAAGATCTTGACTTCTGTCTTTCAATTGAGGACACAGAGAGAAAATAGATGTTAAACTTTGACTAAATTGAATTAAAATTCAATTTAAAATTTTATATTTAAATAATTTAAATTAAACTCTTTATTAGTAAGTAATTTTTAAAGCATCATTGAAAATACTAATTCCAAAACAGTTGATGGTTTTAAATAATTTATTTAAAGTCTGTAATCTAAGGCAGGCACCTTACTAAAGTCTCATTCCTATTTCCCATGAAACTAACATACTTAATGGACAAGCCCAATTACAAAACAAATTCCTTTAGGAATTTTATGACTCAAAAAAGGAATAGAGAAGATAACATGAGAGAACATATATTGAATACTACAGTAGAATGATTGTTCAACTTTTAAGGGATTTATTCAACTACACCATCATTTAGCCCATATGTCACAGTTTTGTTCACAAGAAAACTAGGGGTGACTTTTGTAAAAGCCCTTGGATGCAGTTAAGATAAACTATGCAAATGACACATTTGATCTGCCACTCCAATAATTATTTAAAAAACACAGACAGGATCTCACTCTGTCACCTAGGCTAGAGTGCAGTGGCACAATCATGGCTCACTACAGCCTCCAACTCCTGGGCTTGAGTGATCCTCCCGCCTCAGTCTCTCAAGTTGCTAGAACCACAGTCTCATGCCACCATGCCGGGCTATTTTTTAAAAAATTTGCATAGAGACAGAGTCTCACTGTGTTGCCAAAGCTGGTCTCAAATTCCTGGCTTCAAAGGCCTTGGCCTCCCAAAGCCCTAGGATTGCAGGTGTGAGCCACTGCACCCAGCTCCAGTAATTCTAAAAATAAAAAATAAAAAATAAAAAAATAAAAAAAAATTATGGTGACTTTACACTTAGCAAACACATATGAGCATCAGTTTTAGAATTTCAGTTAATGTCAAGATTGGTAAACTTCAGTTTATGGAATCTTGTTTGAAAACCAGGACAGTTAATTTTCATGGCACTTTTTCATGGTGACTTAAAAATAATAGATATTAGTTCCAAGAACACTTCTTCACGTACTTTTGGTATTCTAAATTAGGTAACAAATTTGGACCTGAAATCTTAAAACAAATTTAAGTTACCTTCAGGCATTCTTATTTCTTCACCATCATATTCTTTTCCAGTTCAAACACCATTCTTCCCTATGAAGCAATTGGAGCTGAGATTTAATAGTTTTGCTTTTCTCTTGGTCATTTGTTCATATTATATAGTTGGCTCCAAGCAATCTTATTCTGATCCCATCCTTGGCTGTCATTTTCTTCTAAAAATACCACATAAATTTCTTTCTATTATTGCTGGCATTTTTACAAACGTCAGTCAACTCAGTATCAGTATCATTAGGTAATCATACTCTTCTTTCATGTTGTTTTTAAGTTTCGTTTCTTTTCAGATCTTTCTTTTTAAATATAATTCTCAAATACAAAGTTTTCAGAAACTTGCCTGTAAAACCATCCTGATAATTTGTAGAAGCCTTTGTGATCCTTTATCTAGATTGTGACAGAGCTTTAGAATGATATGGAATAATATATAAAATTTTCTTTTTAACTTGTTTCTTATAATCTAAAGCTGCACTATCCTTTATGGTAGTCACTAGCCTTATGTGGCCATTGAGCTATTGAAAAGGAATTATTCCAAGTTGAGATGTACTCTAAATATAATATACACATTGGATTTTGAATATATTTATATGGAAGCAATTAAATTTCTCAATAATAGTCTTTCATATTGATTATATGTTGAAGTGATAATATTTTGACATATTGGGCTACATATAATACAGTATTAAATTTAATTTAACTTGATTCTTCATTTTTTAATGTGGATGCTAGGAAATTTAAAATTTCCTGTGTGGTTCACATTATGTTTCTATGGGCAGCACTGATTATTTCCATAATATTTTTAATATCTTTAATATTTTTAAATAAGTGTATTAGTTTTCTATTGTAGCTATAACAAATTCCCACAAATTTAATGGCTAAAAACAACACAAATTTATTATCTTACAGTTTAGGATGTCAGAAACCTAAAATGATTGGCAAAGCCTGTGTTCTTTTTGGAAGTTCTAGAAAAAATTCCGTTTTCTTGCCTAGAGACCACCTGTTTTCCCTGGCTTGTAGCTCCTTCTTTCGTCTTCTAAGCTAAGAGTGTAGCATCTTCAAATCTACCTGACTCTCTCTTTCTCCCTCATCTCTGTTTCTGTTATCACATCTCTTACTCTTATTCTGACCCCTGAACCCTCTGCCTTCCTCTAATAAAAACCCTTGTGATTACTTGGTACCCATCTAGATAACCCAGAGTAATCTCTCCATCTCAAGATCCTCAATTTAATCACATTTGCAAAGTCTCTTTTGCCATATAAAGTGGCATATGCACAGATTCCAGGAATTAAGACATCTGTGGCGGGGGAGGGTGGTGGAGGGTATTATTCCAATTACCGTATTAAGTATATTTAATGCTATTCTTTCTTGATTTGTTAATTTCAATTTTTAAATTTTGCTTGTGGTCCAATATTTTAAGATCAACGAAACGGTAATACCAAAAAACAATCATAAGAAACATCGAGTCAGGTGTGGCATGGCACAACAGCTTCTCATCTGGGCGATGCTGCTGACCTCAACGTGATCTTAGTTAAGTCATTTATCTTCTTGTGCTTTTTTCTGTTTAGCAAAAGGAGTCTGTGAGTCTATGAAGGAACTTTAAAACTGCAGTTCTTTGGGCCACTGTTCAAATATACTGTAGTTGTTTTAATGATTAGTTTGAGTCCTTGTATGATGAATTTCAGCTATAAGATATATCTTCTAGCTTCACCAGACTTATGAATGATGAGGATGTGAATTGTGAGTTGGTTTAATGTATTACACATAAGCCAAGAATTATATTCTCATTCTATCAAATAATGAGTATACTTTCTGTTATCACATAAACCATCTATCCTCATAGTCTATTTTGTGATGTAACAAATCATGCTTTGAACTTTCTTCACATTGCCTTTTCTGCTTCATCTATGTAAACAACTATGTCTGAAATATTACCATGTCCTGCTTTCCTTCTCTCCCTTCCTCCTAGTACAATTTATAAATAAAGGGTCAAAATTTAATTGTTTTCTTTTGTAACAAATCCACCATTTGTTAGCTTGTTTATCACTAGGGAAGGTTTGGGAAACTTTTATAGAAGAGGACACAAGAAAAGGCTGAGAGTCATGAATTTTATGATGGTTGGAAGGTTGAACAATTTCTTATGCATTGAATGTAACATAGTTTTGTCATTCTGTTTAACTAAATCATTCTGCTTGTTTCTAGGTCATCAGAAATAATTTTATTCACATACAAGCAAAAACAAACTCTAAAACCAAACACACATGATCTTAGAAAAATATATCATCTTTGAAAAACTTGTGACATATTTTCTCAGTTTCTTGTAAGTAATCAAAGCTTAAAGGGACAGATTAATGTGTAGATAGATAGGTGATAGATGGATAGATAGACAGATATATAGACAGATAGATAGAGACAGAGAGACAAGAAGACAGAGAAATAACCATTCCTTTAGAAGATGTCATTTTAGGCCGGATGCGGTCGCTCACGCCTGTAATCCCAGCACTTTGGGAGGCTGAGGCAGGTGGATCACGAGGTCAGGAGATCAATACCATCCTGGCTAACATTGTGAAACCCTGCCTCTGCTAAAAATACAAAAAATTAGCTGGGCGTGGTGGCAGGCACCTGTAGTCCCAGCTACTCGGGAGGCTGAGGCAGGAGAATGGCATGAACCCGGGAGGCGGAGTTTGCAGTGAGCTGAGATCGCACCACTGCACTCCAGCCTGGGCGACAGGGCCAGACTCCGTCTCAAAAAAAAAAAAAAGAAGAAGAAGATGTAATTTTAAGGGTTCCTTTATTTAATATTTTGGAAATCATGGAACTAAATATTTTGGGACAGGTAGAAGATGCTCATTAAGTTGCTAATTGAACAATAATGAAAATTCAGGCTAGTGTTTACTTTTAATTATGTAATTAGCATAAAATCCTATCCAAAAAAAGAGTACCCAACTCTTGTCTGTGAAGTCAATGAGATGTCAATACCACTGGGATATAACTAAAAATTTCTCTTTCCATCTCGAACTATAGAACATTAATTTTCATGTGGTTTCCCATCCTATTAGGTCAAACTTTATAGTATATTCTGCTAATACTGGAAACATAGACTCAAATAAACTAATATTTTACAATAAGCATTAATAGATGATATTTAATAAGATGGTTTCCTGATTGTGTTTTTTCAGTACTTAAGAAACATCTAAGATAATTTTATACAATTTAACTCATTCTATACTACATTGCAATGTCAAAATCAATCATGGTACTATGGAATTAAAAGCCACCAAAATATCAAGAGAACCTGCTCTGAGGTTATTAGAGGGTCAGCGTAAATACTGCCTCACAAATGTACTTACATTCAAAAATGAAGAAAATATTCTGCAAAATAATGCATCATGCTATTATTAGCTAAAACATTTGAAATTGGAAATTTCTATATTTTTCAATTTTACCAATTAAATAAATGTATAAATTATAGATGTAAAAAAGACCTTTTTCTAAAAGAAAACAGAATCTTAATTATTAGCCTAATGGCACCATTATTTGAAAGTTTTTAACAAGTCAGAATTATTCAAGTCTGTTTTGAAAATCTGGATTTATTTCTGATTTAAACCCTTTTAAGAGTCCCTCTGTAAATATCTTTTAGCATCTCTAACCAACATTGATGAAAAAGCCCCATTTCAAAAGTGGCAGTCTCATGCTAAAATATCTAGTCTTGGGTAGTCGCAGTGGCTATGCCTGTAATCCCAGCACAGCCAAGGTGGGCAGATTGCTTGGGCTCGGAAGTTCAAGGCTAGCCTGGGCAACATAGTGAATCCTTGTCTCTAGAAAAAAATACAAAAATTAGCCTGATGTGATGGCATGGCGCCGGTATTCTCAGCTACTCAGGAGGCTGACATGGGAGGATCACCTGAGCCCGGGGAGTTTGAGGCCGCAGTGAGCCATGATCGTGCCTCTGCACTCCAGCCTGGGCAAGACAGTGAGACCAGGTCTCAAGATAAATAAACAAACAAACAAAATGTCTAGTCTTGATCATCACTTCCTTAGTTTCCATTACCAATCTCTATTCCATGAAATATAAAGATACATCTGGTATATTTAGCATCCAGGCAGGTGTGTTCTCCCAATACGTATCTGAAATATAGTCAGTACCAGTCAAGCATTTTAAGTAGTCTTTTCTAATTAAGCAGGATTGTGGGAGTAGATTCTTCCCCGTAGAAAGAACCTCTTTGTAAACAGTCACCTTTGCAGTAGTTAGAACTTACAATGTTGCACCACTTTTTATTTTTGTTTCTTTCATAATTCCCAATTGCCATTCATTTAGATTCAAGTCTTGAGCACTTAATATGAGGTTACATCAGGGGAGTTCTGAAGATGGTAGAGGATTTTTTTTTCTCCAGACTTGCTTTACAATTCTGTTTTATTTTATTTCTAGCTTCAGAATTTTTAAAATTATTTTTAAAAAATTGTTGTGGGTATATAGTAGGTATATATGTTTATGGGGTACATGAAATATTTCGGTTATTTCTTCTTTTTCAGACACTGAGCTGCTATCTTTCACAACATCCTAAAACGTTTATCACAAGCCAGAGCTGAATTGATTTGACCTGGTCATAAAAGATGTGCATTTATATGATTTTTCAAAAAAAACCCCACCTTTTCTCAAAATAACTCTTTTGTATTAAAAGCAACAATGAAATACTTACTCCTCTATTTGTTATGAAAACTATGCTGCTTCCTCACATGATCCATTTGGTATTAATCAATCCATCATTTTCTATTTGGTATAGAAACCAAAATAAGATATGTAATTCTAAGATGTTTTTTATCAGAGCTGAAATTTTAATAACACGGTTAAATTGGAATGCCCTATAGTGCTCAGGTTTACCAATCTTGGTCTTTTATTTCCATTATTATTATTCATACTAATTTTTACTTTCCTCCTGTATTGATTTCATTTTCTGAAGAAATTAGCAAGCCCATCTAATGAAGAGATTCTCTTCATTAGAGAATTTATTCTCTTCATATAGCAACTAGTTTTATTGTTTGATCTATTAAGTCAGTCATTTACTAATAATTTGTATCATGAAGGATACAAATATTAAGTATGTTTCTATCCTCTCTGTCAGTAAATCACCAGGGAGATAAATGAATTTGATTCACATTTTTATTCTCAAACACCTTTCCTCTATCCCTCCTTCTCCTTTCACTTCTCCTTTTACTCCTCTTTCTTCATTGACTACCTTACTCTGTGAACTCATTTTACACTTAAACATACTGAAAAATGAACCTTCAGTTCTATATTAATATCTAATACTTGTTCAGTATGGATGCTGAAATATTAATTGATAATAGTAATAGCCATTTGCACTCAACAAATAAATCATCAATAGGAAACTAAGGATTTGTGGTAGTTGGCTGTTTTAAAGTCAACTCTCCTATGATATACTTTGGATTATGCCCAGTATACAGGAGGTATTCAATAAGTGTTTGCTGAAAGAATGTCAGCCTCTCCAAATTTCAGAAATATAATGGTACATCTGCTTCTTCTCCCTTATCTTTCTATTATCAAAGGAAATTAAATTGGCATATCACTATTTCCTTATCACAAATCTGTTTTGGTTATTTCCAGGAAATCTATTCAGAATAGTTGAAAATTGATTGTTTGACAATTAACTCAAGCATTTTTCCTGAGTCCAGGGTGCATTGAATAGTATTAACTGCTCAATTGAGTTATAAAAAATGCCTTTTCTAATATTTGGTATCTCTTTTGCATGGATTATGAAATATAATGCCTAGTGATTGTGAAATGAGATTTCCAGTCCCCATATTTCATATCAACAAAGTCTTCTTATTTGAATTCACATACATATTTTAAATACTCTGGGTGAGTTTTCTTTCATGTTGTAATTTCAGCTTATGGCTACTCTGGCTTTGGTAGTTTTTAGTTAACTGGTCAGACTGAACATGATCAATCAGTTGATTGACTGTTTCACAATTTCAGAGGCCCTGTTACTATTTGTGAGATCAAAGGAAAATACAAGAAAGAGCTAGTTGAGGATTACATATATATTTTTTTCAATTTCAACCATATTTTCCCATTTAGGTGGTAATTTTTGCTTCCTAGCTAGAATTTCTAATATCAATTATAGAAGTAAATAAGCACCATTCCATTTACACTTCTTAGAAATATTTAGTAGTACAGTTTTTTAAAAAAATCTCCATATAAAAAGCACATTATGAAATATTGATATTTCATTTTTTCAGACTTAATTAGAAAATTTTATAATATGGTAAAGATTCACAGGAATAATGTAGTCTAAATCTTTAATTTTAATAAAATATTTAAAGCATATAAACAATTTATATAGTAATATTGTAAACACCCATGTACTCAAGATTCAGGCTGAGAAATAGAGCACAGTAGATACAGTTGAAGCTTCTGGTGATGCCTTTCCAATTTCATTTACTTGGCACCCTCCCCACAGTAACCTCTACCCTGAATATCATGTTTGTCATTATCATACATGTTGATATATTTTGCTGTATATAGGTATGTGATCAAATATAATAGATGTAATTATTTTACCTGTTTTTGAATTTTATATACAAATATCATCATCCTATAAGCATCTTTCCGCAACATCCTTTGTTGTTGTTGCTGCATATTATATTTTTTGAGATTCATTTATATCAACTCAAGGAGCTGAGGTAACATTCATTTTTCTTGTTACCGTTTCTACTATTGCAGTATATGAATATTCTATAAATATTTTGTCCAGCTATTTATCTGAAGGTGTTTAGATTATTTCTCTCTCCTACTGTTTTTTTCTCTTTCAAATAGTTGTGGAATGAATAGTTCTAGGAGTGGAAAAACTGGATTATAGGACATAAAAATGTTCAACTATTGCTAAACTGCTCTCTGAACTTGTACTATCATATACTCTCTGTAATTTCTTCACATTTTCATCAATATTAAGTTTTGCTGGACTTGTAAATTTCTGCCAATTTCATGACTGGGAAACAAAAATCTCATTATTTTGAATTGCATTTCTCTAATAACTAGGGGGATTGAGGACCTTTTTCAGATGCTTATTGGACATTGAGAATCTTTTTCTGTCAATCAACTATTCATTTCCTTAACCCATTCTTTCCTATTATATTTTTTATCTTTTATAAGCCCCTTTATGTACTTTGGATAGTAATCCTTCTTTGATTATATGCATTGCAAATATCTTTTATGAGTGTACATTTTGATTTATATAATTGCTTTATTTTAATATATCAAATTTAATATTATTTCTTTATGGACTTTGGCTTTTTTATGTTGTTTAGTAAACCTTTCTGTTCTCATCTACCCAAAATCATAAAGCTATTTCCCTCTAAATGTTGTAAAATTTTGCTCAGCATCTTTAGGTCTTTAACCCACCTTAACATACATACATGTGAAGTTGCAATCTTGTATTATCATTATTTCATATGGCTAATTCAGTGTCTGAATATGTCATCTTCCCTCAGTGCTTTCTGATGTCACCAGTTATTTATCAGGTTTCCACAAATCCATGAATATTTTTCTGGACTTTCTATTCTGTTCCATTGGACTAGTTTCTAGCCCTGAACCACATCTGCATTGCCTCAGTTACTGTTATTTTATGTTAAGCCTTAATAGTTCATATTGGAACTTCCTGAACCTTTTTCTTCAGATTATTCAGATTATATTGATAATTTCTTACCCTTTGCCCTTGCAAACACATTTTAGAATTAACTTTTAGGCTTCCACAAAAAAATTGTAGTAGATTTTATTAATAATTACATTACTTCTATAGATTAATTTACCATATTGATTCTCCCATCCAGGAACATGTATATTTATTGATTTATATGGGTTTACCCCTTAGTGTTAATAGATAAATTAGCCGTGGGCCAAAAAGTGATGGCCCAAAGTCACATAGCCAATTAATAGCAACACCAGTGGTAGAAGAAAGGTCTTTTGACTCCTTAACACCTTGTACACTAAAAAGGCTTAATTATTTAGTCAGTTAAAAAAGAGTGTCTTGGACTGCTTGCAGCTACAGAACCCCTCACAATGAAAGAGAATTCAACTTCTCTAGTTTACTAGGCCCAATTTGTGTTTCAAGCCCTCAAAGTGTGATTAGAGCGCTTGGGAAAACAAAGTCCTGAAATTCCTTGCATTGACTCTTTCTCTGGAGCCTGTCGGAAATGCTAGGGGTAATCTTGAGGTCATTGAATTTAAAAGCATTCAGGTAAGCAACATTGAGGCCTATGTAATGACTCTTAGGTCTTGTTCTGTGACCACAGGCTTACAGGAGCTATCACTTGCTTTGCTGAATGAACACTAAAAGTCCCAAATGAGTAAGAGATTATCTAAGAATACACACACACACAATCATATTCCTTTAAAGGAAATAAAATTTTAAATGTTTTTCTAAAAGCAGCATATCTCAGGAAGAGTGAGGCTTCTTTTAGGTCGATAGTTATTAAAGAAACAAATACAATTGCTTTGAAATCACCGAATTGCCTCAAATTGGCATTTTAGCTACTAACTGCCATTGGGGAAATTTTTGTAGACAAAAAAAAAAAAATAGAATCCAGAGGAGACAGAAACACAGAAGATTCAGTCTTTAAACGTAAAACAAAGAAACATCAGATGCTGTATTCAAGTAGTCATATACTATTCATGTTAATTGCAGTTCAGCCTTCTTTAACTACTGCAGTAGCCAGTTATCTAAAGGGGCAGAAAGAAAAAAAAAAAAAAAGGTGAGGAGAGGGGATGGGAAAAAAAAGTGAGATCCCTGCAATATCGCCTGGAGCCACTAGGGGTATCTTTGTACCATTTTTCATCCTGCACCGATTTGGAGTAGAAACCTATATTAGGGTAAAACCAGGGTCCTCGGCATTTTTTTTTTTTTTTTTTTTTTTTTTTTTTTTTGCGAGGAGTGCACCCAGAATCCAAAAAAGATTTTTTAAAAAAGAAAGAAAGAAAGAAACCAGAGTTTTTTTTCAGTCACCCGAACAGGGTTATGAAATTGTTCTTCTGGACATCAGCACCGGGAATTCATTTTTGAGGTCAATTTCCAATCGAGATAAATCTATTGGATTAGTAGGATTATCTGATTGCAGCCGAAAGAAGTAACGTTGTTTGATCATTTGTATTTCTTGCCTGATGGTCGGATTTACATGGAGGTGGCTTTGGGTCCCCAGGATTCTGGATCGTGGTTGCATCTGGAGAGAAAAAAGGATCAATCGACACGTTTTAGAAGTGTCCGTGGGTGAATAAAAAAGGAGGGGGGGGTGCAAAACTGGGGTTGCGGATGCTTAAAGCAAAAAAAGAGAAAAGGAAGCGTCTTGAATCCTGGAACAAGAATTACCGGGTGCTCGAGATTTCAAAAAAGCGTCTAGAAACTGGTAAATACTTGGACCATTTCAGCTTGAATTTGACGGCGAAGTGTTGTAGAGACCGTCTCCTTGAATCATTGCAAAGGGACCGGGGAAAGATGAGGGGGCTCCCTCTGTGGATTTATCTTGCTGAGGGTAAGTTTGTGGCTCTTTTATTGGGAGGGGGCTGCCAGGGTTTTGTGCCACTGCGCGGAAGGTGATGCGGACGCGGTGCCTGTGAAATGGAGAGAGAAAGGGGAATATAAAACCACCTCGCGCATCCCCGGGGGGATCGCTAGGGAGCTACCTAGATCGAGCTAAAAAACCTTGTTTTTGTGGCGTCGGTGGGGGAGCCAAGCAGCTCTCCAAGCTCTCAACTTTGCATTGAAAATCTCTCAGTTGGGAGACGCTTCCCAGATCCAGTGCTTTCTCCTAGCAATACTTTAAGGAGAGGAGGCAGCGGTGCCTTGGAAAACCTGCATGTAGAGCGGAAAAGCCCAAGTAGAAATCGCTGGTGCTTCGGCCGCCGTTTCTGCGGCTGTCGTGGCTTCTAGGGGGATATTTTGCAGGGGGAATTGGCTGTTTTCATGTTGTCTCCTCCCCCACCCCTCTCTTCCTACCCCTTCCCGCTTCCCGCTTCTCTCAACCGGACACTAAAGGGTTACAGGGTCACTGCACCGGATAGAGACAGTAGAAGTGGGTGGCTGGCCACACATGTTGTCTTGTAATTCACTTGCACGACTTTCCATAATACAAGTCCGAGGTAACTTTCTTCGAGTTGGAGCAGCCCAGGAAGACGTTGCAGGCTTTTTGCCGAGGGCCCAGGCTAGCGAGTGCGCCAGGCAGACGGCTGCATTTCTGATGCATCCCTGCCCTGCCTGCCTCGCCACTTACTGGCTTTTCTTTCCAACTGAGCGGTGCGCGCGCGTTCCCAGACATTTTCTTGCAGCTGAATTCAGGAATTTTTTTCTTTTTTTAAGAATTTTGTAGCTCCCAAGAAAAACTCATCTTTATTTGCAGAAGGAAATCAATTTCAGCAGCTATAATTAATCACTCAAATCAGTGAATATGAATTGACTCAGGCAACTAAAAGTTGCTTTGGAACCCAGAAAAGCATATTATTCTGAAGTAATTTTGGAGTCCACGTAGCTTCAGAACAATTGCATACAAAGAACTGATTTATTTGAGGGATGTATATAAATGTGTTCAGTAGGTTAACGAATCTGAGACTTCAACATCACAATTTTAGTTGGCTTTTTTTTTTAAAGCCAATTCGTTAAATTTTAAACTTGTAGACATTCAAATGCTTTGGAATAAAATGGAGATAGATAAAAGATAAAACATACATTTTGTATGTTCTAATCTTTAGAATAAAAGTGTTACCTTTTTTCAGGGATTTCTGGTTTACAGATTATGACTGTATGCAGATACCTTTGTGGTTTTACCACTGAAGTCTGTGTGTGTGAACTCATCAAAAGGCAACTCTTCAATGTCATCTGAAGCACACTCATTCTCTAGTACTTTTTTTCAGGAATTCCAGATACATGCGACGTTCTGACTATTAAAAGATTAGTCTAACCAAACTTTCTTCCTGGATTTGTGTGTGTATGTGTGTTTCTGAAATCTAATTTTGAAGCATGCATGTGAGATTTGTTTTCTAAAGATGAAATAGCAAAATATAAAACTTTTGTCTCCCAGGAATTCTAAAGTGGAAAAGGTAGATATTTCTTATTTCAGTAGACGTTGTGTAGGCTTATTTAGAGATTATAGAAATAACAATAAATAGTTTCTACAAACCCAATTGTTAGTTTTAAGGCGATATCTGAGAAGCTAGGTTAGTCTCTTTTTACTCTGCTATAACCCAATTGTTAGTTTTAAGGCGATATCTGAGAAGCTAGGTTAGTCTCTTTTTACTCTGCTATAAGTCACGTGGTTCACGTGCAGACTGAGAGTAGAAGAATGGATGTTCTGTGTATTGGCACAGTCTAGCCACTGATCCTAGCCACACTGTCTAATAGTATTTAAAATATTTTCAAAGTTTAAACGGATTTTAAAAAGACAGCTAGCAAATATCATTAAGTGGTAATAGCAAATAAGTAATGAAGGTGAGTGGTAGGTGGGTTGGAATTTCTCTTTTTAAGCTAATAGAGAATATGGCTGTTGATATAAAAATAGATAGATAATTTGAAACATGAAAAAGAAGGTCCTTTTAAAATTGATTTGCATATTCCAAAACCATTAAATCAGTAGTCATTGCATGTGCCATAGTGTTAAAATGGAAGACTTAACTGAATGTGCCTTTGTAGTGCCTGGAAAATACATTTCTGTCAGAATAAACAATACTTTCTACTCCCCTATTATATTCTCTTTTGTCAGTTAAAATGAAAAGGGAGAAAGTGACCTTCTCTTTGTTATAATCTACTTGGAGGGGCTGTATCCTTTGTTTCTACAAGCAGTACATACACAAAACTTTCAGTAAACTTTGTAGGTAGTAAATCCACTTTGGAAAGCCAATAACAATGGAAATAAGTATATACAAAACTACACACCAAAATTTTTTAAAAAGTTGCGGCCAGTAAACGAAGAGCAAGGTACCCAGTTAGATAAATGCTCTCCCTAATAGAGTGGATTGTTCTAGGAATTATTGAAAAACCTGAGGAATTCACTTAGAAAATTAATTCCATTTAGCTCCATCTTACCCAATACATGTTTTTGGTCCTAATTATTAAAAAGAACATGGTAGCCTTGATGAGTTGTGAATTTTCTATCAGAGTAACACAAAATGTGGTAGTTTGGGGTAAAGAGATGGAAGCTGTCAATTAGCCCTGGAAATCTGCAAGCACAGTTTCTGATATAAGTGACAAGAAATAACATTGGATTCCTCTAAGCTTATCACTATGTAAAAACTGATGTTGCATTCACTGGAGTTTTGCTTGACAGCTGCACCTGTCCCTCAAAAACCTTTTATGTGTTGCAACTGGCCTAACATTCAGGAAAAGCTAACACATTTGCTATAGATTCTTTCTATGATTTTGAGATGATTAACTACATTAAATGTTATTTTACATTAAAAAGAAGTTAGCAACACACTCTTAATTAGAAGCAAAGTGATAAGGGCAATTATTTTTAAATGACTTGTTGAAATTTAACACATGACACTTCCAAGTGCAAATCTTCCATCTCTTTTGCTTTATTGAGAAATAAAAAAGAACAAAAACCAACTTTCAATTAATTTAAAATTCAAGTTTTTGACATATTGAATTTGCCAAGCATTGAAAAATATCAAATTTGTGAACACTCATGATGAGTCTAATGTTTTTATTGCTTTTTAAGAGATAATTTAAAACATCATGAGGTAGCTAACCATATAATCCTGTGGGATAGCAACATTCTGTTTCTAAGAAAATGATTTCTAAGAAAAATGATTCCTTAATAGTAACCCATTTGCTGGTCACTTTTGTTCTGTTATTAATGAAATAATGTTGATAATGTCAAATATTACTATGTTGGTATAAAATGATCTGAATAATCTCTGCCTTCAAGAGTCATCCCCCAAACAAAGTAAAATCAAACAAACAAAAATCCCCACAGCCATTTGGTAGCTAACCTGTGTGATAGAGAATGACTGTCAACTCGAAGCTTAAGTGAAGTCAGGGAAAACTAGTGAATCATTCCAGGAGTTTGAAATTATTAGACATTAAACTTTTGGGGGATTTTTATATGAATTCTTTTTATAACAGTCAGTATAATCTCTTCTGTGCCTATTTCCGTTGCATGTGAGAGAAATTCTAGTCAATGGCAAAGCGCTTCACTGCTGCCATTACTGCAGACTTTATAGATCAGAGATGTGTCAGCATGTTAGCTTTAGCAGTAATGCCTCTTTTGTGTGAAACCTTATGGGCCTTGCAGGCAGTCTGTCATCCTGACACTCATAAAACGTTCAAGTCCCCATATTTATTATTTAATTTTCTTCCTATATATAGCAACACAGCACTTCAATATATGAATGTGTAGTCAAAAAAATGACAGGCAATTGTGGATGGGACTAATGAGTTTTAATAATACACATATTAGGGACCGCTAAAGGAAGTTTAATTAAGAAAAACAAGTTGAGCATGAAATTCATTTTGGAACAAATGCAAGTTAAGTTACTACTACTGATGTAAATTCAAAAACCACAGTGATATATCACAGGAAATTAAGTTCCAGCCTGAGACTAGACCTAACTAATGCAGTTGACATCTTAGGACTTAGCTTTAAGTGGACAAACTTTGATTTGACTTATGAAACAGAAGAATATGTACTTTTTTCACTTTCTCCTGGTTTGTATAGAAATTTTAGTTTAGTATTTTCACTGCATATCCAGCTACGCTTTATGTACATAATATTAGTTCACTTGTGACAGGCCACACAGTAGCTTTTTCTTTTTCTGTAGCCTACTTTTCTAATGCTACATATGCCTACAATTAGAGCTACCTGCTGAGGCCCATGCTGTCTCTTTGGAGGTGCTGTAGGTGGTGCTTCATTAATAGAACTGCATAGTCAACTTTCCTCTACCTATAATTCTGTTTATGTTTTGCATAATTTAGAAAATAAATAGACTAATGTGTTTGCTTGCTTACTTTTATTTATTTATTTGATGGTGGCAGTGCATGTGGAGGAAAAGCAGAAGTTGGGGAAGAGATTGAATATTGGGCAACTATTTTCTTAGAATGTGATTTTCTTATATTTTGCTTGTATTGAAATAGCACAGACACTTTCTATAAAGAGTAAATAATCAGGCAATGATATGAAGGTCTTATTGTATACATATGGTTCTCAACAAATGCCTATTGGGAAACATCCAATTGATATACTGTTTTTTATACCAATGTTTGTCATCAGTTTTTTGTAACCATAATGATTCTTTTTTCTTCCCTGACACACCCAATGAATGGTAGATCTACAGGAGAAGAAAAGAGGTTACTTGTAATGTTTGAAAATGAATTGAAAATTGTCATTGCTTTTTAAAAAACAGTCACAATGAGTACTCTCATATTGTCATATGGAATACTTTCTATGCTTGGAAGATCAACAAGTTCAAACATGTAATCAAGTAATATTGAGTTGATAAAATCCAGGTTGAGATTATCATTAGTAAAAGTTTTTTTCCATGTGACAACCACCACTTCTATGACAGAACTGACCAGAAAAAGTGATTACAGCATAGAACGTTGTGAATATTGTGAATGGTTGTCACAATATTCACACCTTGAAAATAAAACTTGAGCAATTTAATAGTTAACTATAGAGCTAAAAGGAATAAAAGTTCACTTCAGCAACCATTATGTTACAAGTCAGTGCATCTGTCATTTCTAATTTAAATCTGTATTACTTACTGTCCAACACTTTACACATAAGTGACAGTGTTATCTATTCTTTTTCTTATGGGTAGAAAAAGTCACCAGTTTCATTACCTGTTTAACTGTGCCAAGTGTTCTAATACATATGTTACTACAAGATTGATGCCAAAAGTCCCTGTTATTTCACGCCACGGTCTTTAATAACAACATCTAAGAAGGAAAGCGTTTTTTGTTTTGAAGGAATACTGTACTAGTAGTCTGTATAACCTCCACCATAGTAGGGGATTTTTGTCTGGTTTGTTCGGAGCTGAGTGTATTTCTCTTCATCGCCTAGAGAACAGTACCTGGTACATAACTGGAAATCAATAAACGTTTATTGAATGAATGAATGAAAATCGACTTGTGTTCTAGCCTTGGATGTTAGTAACTAAACATGTAACCTCTTTATGTAATGAATACCTGGGATCTTCATTTTTGCTTTTTAAAAAATGTATAATCAGTAGTTATTTGAATTGACAAATAATTTTAAATAATGTACAAAATTCCAAAGGGAGGAAGGATTCTATTCAAAAATTGAATATTAATTAGAGACAAATAGTAACTGAGGCTTTTTAGTGATTTCATATAGAGTTTATATACTTCACTTTGATAAATTATTTGATCAAGACTTACAAGTGTAGTAGGATTATTTATATTGTTATAATTTACTGAAGGTACATTAGAGCTATTTTCTTCCATGAAGAAAATGTGATATCTCAGGGAACGTTGGAATTACTAAAAGTTATTTCAAACAGGTAGAACGTGAACAATAAGACAATAAGATTTAAAATATAACGGTTTGGGATTTTCGTCATTACTTAAGATCTTTTTCCATTTTGTAAAACTTTATAATCCCATTCTCCCTATTATAAAATTTGAATTTAAATGGTGACTTTATTTGGCAACCTATATTCCATGTGTATATTAAATTCTTGTTAATATTCTATTCTATTCATTAATATATTGATATACTATTTGTGTTACACAAATGGCCCATGAACAGGGCATTATTTTGAATTTTGTTATTGTTATTAGTACTAATGCAACTTTTATATGAAGGAAGAAAATGATGTAGATATATAAAGGAGATTGCTAGTGTGATATTCTTTCTCCTTTGGATCACTGGTTGAGCTCTAAGCCAGGTCAGGAGTGACAGGAAACCATTATTGCTGTTCGGTGCCTTATGTGAAAGGCGTTGGTGGTCTTAGTCCAGTTCCTAGTAGACAGCTACTCCTTAAACAATAGTCACCACAGTATTTGCCAATTCCAGCAAAAGCCTGGGACTGAATGGACACAAAGGTTTAACTACCCACTCTCTGCTGATCATCCTCCAAGGGGTCAAGATTGACACACCCTGGCACAGGGCCATACTCAAACTTAGCACTGCCTCTGCCAAAGTTGCAGCTATTCTCTGGCAACAAGGGATTTTTTTTAACTGGACTTTAATTAAGCAGGGAACCAGGAATGGCAATTTTCCACTCTTCCCAGGCATGAGCAACTCACTACACACAAAAATAAGCTTAAAGAATGAGTTGAGACTGTAGCACTCTTCTTAGGTTGTGCTAGCTTCTCTATAAAGATACTAGCAGGCATAATTAAGTTGCTTCTGGAAGCAATGACTTGTGACCCAAAGGTGGCCCCTTCCAGACAAAATCATCAACTTAATATCAAGGGAAGTAATCAGCTCTACCAGGCTGTCTCTTCTGAGCTCTTGAGTGATTATTCATTTTCTTCTGTGGGATCACAGGGTCATCAATTGGTTTTAAAAATGTATCCTGTGGTATTTTACATATACATTAAAACTGTTGCCCATGACTTTTGAATAACATTCTGCCTCATTGATTTTTGCCCCTCTTGCCCCCTTCACCTCCCTGTTCATTTGGAAGTCAGGCTTCCTAAGTAGATTCTAGATTTAACAATTAATATTTGGAGATTACACCTGAAAATAGTTTCAGAATAAATAGAAAGTAAAACTTATATAGTTAATGTTAAATTTTTTTTCAGCCCTCCTCTTCAGAATAACAAAATAAAGAAGAAGCTGTCTAATATTTCGCCATTAGTTGTAATGATGGTTATAGCAGAAATACTCAGTTTTGTAATGCAGAAGACGATGCTGTCACCTTAATCTTTTTCTCTTTTTGTTGTCAGAAAAGCTATTATGGCATCTTAGAATCTTATTGTATTTTCTTTTTTGCCACACAATAGTGGAATTAGCTGCCAGTCTACATGGATATCTATGCACACGCCTACATGATGAGAAATTTCCATTGTATTGTCATTTGTTTCCACCTCTTCTATGTTTCGTCCCCCCTGGCTGCAAGTTTAATTAAGCTAAAGCCTTCACAGAGGTCAAGCATCACAGATGGATAAATAAAATCTGAGGGTTGTGTTAATTGATGAAAAATAGTATAATGAATTAATGGGTCATTCATTCAAGAAATATTTTCTGAGGACTTACAATGTAATGCATTGTTCTGGGGATGGTTGTTAAAAACCAACAATTCAAAAGACACACCCTGTACTCTCAAAGTGTAAGGGTAATCTGATCATGCCATTTGTATGATTATAATGATTCTCATCATAGTTTGGATAAGATCTCACACCCCTAAAATGGCCAACAAATTCTTGAGTTGTCACATCCTTTCTCCTCTCCTGTCTGATGGGCTACCCTTCTCTCAGTTCACAGTGATTTCTTTGGAAAGCCCCAGCCTCCACAGCATTTGGGTTTCCTGTTACTTCTGGCACATTCTATACCTTGGTTTTCAATTGCCAACTCCTACTCAATCTCAGACCCTGGTTTCCAGATTAATTCTTCAGGAAGATCATCATTCCCACTCCATATTCTTAAATCTCCCCTCAAAATACCCTGCATTATCCTTCTTCATACAGTATTTATTACTAGATAGCTCTCTGTGTAATTGACTTACTTAAAGTCTATCTTCCCCCATTGAACTTCAGTCTTTTTAAAACAATTATTTTTGATTCAAGGGTACATGTGCAGATTTGTTATATAGGTCAACTTGTGTCATGGGGGTTTGTTGTACAGGTTATATCATCACCCAGGTACTAAGACTGTTACCCAATAGTTACTTTTTTGTCTTCATGAATATTAGCACTATTCCTCTCCTGTTCACGTCGTCCTCTCCAATGCCTAGTACTATTTTGCCAAATATAGGAATGAAGATGGAAACTGAGATTACAAATTACTGTGGAAAAAAGTACTGTGTGTTTAGTTGCAAAAAATGTAATAAGTGTTTTGAGAGATAAGAGAAGGGAGTATTTTTATGACTTGAAGGACTAGGGAAGGAAGTCTTATTGACTTTTGAGCCAGGCCTTGAAAGGTACTAGCTGTGGTCCCTCCAGGAGAAAACTGATGGGGAAGGCATTCTCCAGGAAGAACAATCTTGGTGAACAAGTTGGGCCCAATTAACTGAGCGCTGCTTCCAGGGCTGTGCTGTATTAGTCTGTTTTCATGCTGCTGATAAAGACACACCCAAGACTGGGAAGAAAAAGAGGTTTAATTGGACTTAGAGTTCCACATGGCTAGGAAGGCCTCAGAATCATGGCGGGAGATGAAAGGCACTTCTTACATGTTGGCGGCAAGAGAAAATGAGGAAGATGCAAAAGCAGAAACTCCTGATAAAACCATCAGATCTCATGAGACTTATTCACTACCATGAGAACAGTATGGGTGAAACCACCCCCATGATTCAAATTATCTCCCACTGGGTCCCCCCGACAACACGTGGGAATTATGAGAGTACAATTCAGGATGAGAGTTGGGTGGGGACATAGAGCCATACCATGTCATTCTGCCCCTGGCCCCTCCAAATCTCATGTCCTCGCATTTCAAAACCAATCATGCCTTCCCAACAGTCCCCAAAAGTCTTAACTCATTCCATAATTAACCAAAAAGTCCATAGTCCAAAGTCTCATCTGAGGAAAGGCAAGCCCCTTCCAGCTAAGTCTGTAAAATCAAAAGCAAGCTAGTTACTTCCTAGATTCAAAGAGGGAACAGGTAATGGGTAGATACAGCCATTCCAAATGGGAGAAATTGGCCAAAACAGAGGGGCTACAGGCCCCATGCAAGTCCAAAATCCAGCAGTGCAGTCAAATCTTAAAGCTCCAAAATAATGTCCTTTGACTCCAGGTCTCACATCCAGGTCACACTGATGCAAGGGGTGGGTTCCCATGGTCTTGGGCAGCTCTACCCCTGTGGCTTTGCAGGGTCCAACCTCCCTCCCAGCTGCTTTCATGGACTGGCATTAAGTGTCTGTGGCTTTTTCAGGTGAATGGTGCCAGCTGTGGGTGGATCTACCATTCTGGGATCTGGAGGAAGGTGGCCCTCTTCTCACAGATCCACTAGGTGTTTCCCCAGTAGGGACTCTGTGTTGGGGCTCTGATCCCACATTTTGCTTCCACACTGCCTTAGCAGAGGTTCTCCATGAGTGCCCCGCTGCTGCAGCAAACTTCAGCCTGGGCATCCAGGCATATCCATACATCTTCTGAAATCTAGGTGGAGGTTCCCAAACCTCAGTTCTTCACTTCTGTGCACCCACAGGCTGAACACCACATGAAAGCTGCCAAGGCTTGGGGCTTGCACCCTCTGAAGCCATAGGCTGAGCTGTACCTTGGCCCCTTTTAGTCACGGCTGGAGCAGCTGGGACACAGAGAACCAAGTCTGTAGATTGCACACAGCACAGGGACCCTGAGCCTGGCCCACAAAACCGTATTTTCCTCCTAGGCCTCCAAGCCTGTGATGGGAGGGGCTGCTGTGAAGACCTTAGACATGCCCTGGAGGCATTTTAACCATTGTCCTGGGGATTAACATTTGGCTTCTTGTTACTTATGCAAATTTCTGCAGCTGGCTTGAATTTCTCCTCAGAAAATGGGTTTTTCTTTTCTATGGCATTGTCAGACTGCAAATTTTCTGAACTTTTATGCTCTGCCTCCCTTGAAAAACGGAATGCCTTTAACAGCTCCCAAGTCACCTCTTGAATGCTTTGCTGCTTAGAAATTTCTTCCATCAGATACCCTAAATCATCCCTCTCAAGTTCAAAATTCCACACATCTCCAGGGCAGAAGCAAAATGCCACCAGAGTCTTTGCTAAAACATAACAAGAGTCACCTTTTCTCCAGTTCCCAACAAGTTTCTCATCTTCATCTGAGACCACCTCAGCCTAGATTTTATTGTCCATATCATTATCAGTATATTTGTCAAAATCATTTAACAAGTCTCTAGGAAGTTCCAAACTTTCCTACATTTTTCGGTCTTCTTCTGAGCCCTCCAAACTGTTTCAACCTCTGCCTGTTACCCAGTTCCAAAGTTGCTTCCACATTTTTGGGTATCTTTTCAGCAGTGCCCCACTCTGCTGGTACCATTTTACTGTGTTAGTTCATTTTCATGTTGCTGATAAAGACATATCTGAGACTGGGAAGAAAAAGGGATTTAACTGGACTTACAGTTCCACACTGCTGGGGAGGCCTCAGAATTATTGCAGGAGGCAAAAGGCACTTCTTATGTGGTGGTGGCAAGAGAAAATGAGGAAGATGCAAAAGCAGAAACACCTGATAAGACAATCAGATCTCATAAGACTTATTCACTACCATGAGAACAGTATGTGGGAAACCACCCCCATGATTCAAATTATCTCCCACTGGGTCTGTCCCACAACACGTGGGAATTATGGGAGTTCAATTCAAGATGAGATTTGGGTGGGTACACAGAGCCAAACCATATCATGTGTGTTACCTTCCAGTAGTATTGTTTATTCACAAAATTAGTTTGCTACCAGGTATAACGTCTACCATGTACTCAGGTGTTACTCCTTGTTATTTAAAAAAATATTTTGTTGGTAAATTTTTTTCTCCAATTAATGTTAAGTTTTAGTTGGCCTTTTCTCATTAACATTCTATTTTCTCTCTCTCTTTTTTTTAATGTTATTGGAGAGGTACATTTAGTGTGGAAGTAGCCCAAGGGGAAAGAGAACAAATAGAACCGTTTATATACTCTGCAGAGAAATGGGGAATATCATGCAACTCTGGAAAACTTTTGGGGGCTGCCCACGATTTCTCCCAGGAGGAGGTTCTGGGCAAAATTAAGAAGGAGGCAGCGTTTGTCTTTAGAGAGTGTTAATTCTTCTGCCTTATCTCTTTCTATTTCTTGAAGCTTACTGAATCCATAAAATGTGCTCTTGTTTTATTGAAGGATGTTACTGTGGCTTTGTGTTTCTGACTTCAGTTTAATTATCTGTTACAAGAAGATGATAATGATCTCTACCTCATGGTACTTAGAGACAATAAAGGAGATGATGCAGTTAGCTCAATGTTTAGCCCCAGTACTTACTCATTTGGTGCTTGTTGTTAATCCAGTTATTATTACATGATGCTCATGGCAGAGTAAACTTGTCACCACTTTAGTTCTCAATAGCCTTATGTTAATATGGTCATGACATGGGTCCTAGCATCCCTTGGAACTTCTCCATGATCAAGACCTTCAACTTTGATATTCTCATCTCAGAGTAAACCCTTTTTGGCCTTGGTTTTAATTGTTTTATATTTTTCCCCTTTGTGTCCTTCTGGTACTGCTTAAGTCTATGTTTAGATTTAGTTGATCTGTTCAACATTAGGATTACCATTTCTGTAACCTTTGCTCTTTGCTGTTCTATCATTCTTTACTTCCTTATCCCCAACCCTGACTTCTATCATTTATTCTCTGCCCCAGGCTATTGAATGTTGCTGGAAAAAAGTTTCAATACCACACTCTTTGGAGCTGCTGCAAATTATGACTATTAACTAACCCCGGCAAGCAGATGAGCAGCCTTTTTATTTTCCTTCTGTTGATATTCTGTGTGTTTCACTCTCCTCAGTTCCTCAACCTGAGCATAGGACTTTATTGAATTGGTCTCACTGAGGTGCAGAGCACAAACTCCTGTGTCACAAAGGTGCAGGATATGTTCTTTGGAGTTAGGCAGTCTTGGGTTTGTTTCTTGGATCTGCCTTTTCCTGGCATTGTGGCCTTCAGAGAGTTATCTGACCACTTTCACCCACATTTTTCTCACCTCAAATAAGAGGGCTTGTCTTCTAAATCTGTTATGAAGACTAAGTGACATGAACTATGTAAAGTGTTTTGGACAGCGATTGGCAAGTAGAGGGTGACCTACAATAGTAGCTGTTTTTGTTGCCATTTTCACATAATTGTGGATGAATCCAGCTGATATTTCAAACTGAACGTGGAATTAAGATTCTCTCTGGTTTCTTTTACACCAATTCATTCACAAAAGTAATGATTCCCACACCTTTGTATCTAGTCTGTACGTTTGATAACCAAACCATATTTTTGCTAAAAGGTGAAAAGTGTATGCATATATACATATATGTTACTTTTTAGTAAAAAATATGGTTTGGTTATCAAAAATTTATGTAGGAATATACATATATATATATTTAATAAATATTTCTATCACCAGATTGCAAAACATACACAAAAATAGACACTAAGAAAATGAGAAAGATAAAATTAACAGTATTTTAAAATGTCTTATAAATACTGATGACTTCATTGCATTATTCACTAATATCTCAAGGCACAGAGATTTTTAGGGCACAGTTCCCAGCTACTAAAATGGGCATTAATTCAGACTTCAAGTTATCTTCTTGAGGTTTTCAAACATTTTTTTCTGATTTGTTATTATATCTGATTAGATGGCCATTATTTTTAATCTTGTGATATAGCTGAAGAAGAGCTTGTCCTAAAAGTAGAAATTTCATTTTGCCTTTTTACAGTTCTTTATTTATTATTGTATTTCTAGTACTCCCTTTCGTTGATATTTGATAAAAAGTTAATCCAGTAGTTTGTTTTTTAAGGGTTACTTTAATTACAACTTGATACAAATGTGTAAATTTATTTATCCAATGATGTAAACTCTAATGCATCACTGCACATTGAAAATGAACAATTAATAAAAACAAAGTGCTATTGGTGGTTAACCAACTGCACTACAGACCAATCTACCTTCCCAGGAACACTGTAAGTGCTATATGCATCAATAGCCTTGTGATGACACTGCTGTTACATCATATATTCATATTAGCAAACTTTAATTGCTTTCTCTTTTTGTTTTACATAAAAAATGGCAAATAGAAGTTCAACCATTTAGTTCCCTTATCTAATCATCTTGTGGTGGGGTATGAACACGCTGCTTTAGAGATCTCTGCCCCAAAATACCACCGGTTTAATTTTCTTGTGAATGAATTTGATAATACTTTCCTTCTGCTAGGAACGTGTAATGGCTTTTCGTCATCTAGAGAATAAAATCCGAACTCTTTAGCCTCTTAATGAAGGGCTTGCTTGATTTGGCTCTAGCCTGCCATTTCAATCTTATCCAATGCTCATCCTCATTTACTCTGTCTTCTGGGCAAACTAGACTGTGCGTTCCTCAAAAAAGCCTTTTACTTTTCTTTCTGTCATAAGTCAGGCTTCCAAAGGAAAAAATAAGACTTTGAGATGAAGGTTTGTCTACAAGAAGTTTCCTGGGATGTGCCATTGGAAACAATTCCTGTAAGGGAGTAGGAGAATCTCAACCAACTCCTCCCTCTGCCCATTTTCATGGGGAGCTTTGGGGCTCCTCTGATTATTCTGTATTGAGAAAAGGAGGCCAGGCCTTTGAATACTGGCAGGAACCAGTCATTAAAATGTGAGCTGCCCTCAGGAAGGGTGAGCAGCACAGTATCTACTGAACATTCTTTCTGCTGTGGGATCCCTTCTGTGACCAACAGTGTTTGTCCAGATCGTAGTTCTTTTAAGCCCATCTTAAATTTCCCTGGATTCATGAACTCGTTTCTAATTTACTAGCTGGAGGTAGACTTGTCTCTTCTTTTGAAGCCTAATATCATTTTGTAAAATTGTGTTCATTTGTTTATTCATCCCATTTTAAGTACTTACTATGTGAGTTAATTACACATTAGTTACTTTAAGTATTCATTTGCTGAAAGGCGTCAAACAGTTTATATACATTGGACAGCTTTATTACAGGCAAAGAATACAGTATGGCAACAGCAGAAGAAGGATATGCATTAAACTGAATTTAAAAATCTCAGACTCTGGCTTCTTTGTTCTCCCACTCCTGGGTCATGAAGAATATCCTTTTGTCTCTAGGTCTTTAACCACCACTAGTGTATATGAAACATTTTGCTACAGGGAACTCAGTATCTGTCAGTAATCAGGTTCTCTTACAGTGAACTGATCACATAGATATATTCCAAGTACATGGCTAGCCTTGGTCATCAAGTTTCACCACACTCTGCTGAAACCAGATATTATTAAATTACCTTATTTGTTAAATTAGTATTACTAAGTCCATTTTTATATCCACTTATTATTACCATATATAGTTAATAAGCTAGGGTGGCCTGACTTCAAACAACCCACAGACCTATAAGTGCAAAACATTATTTGTCTAGTTAGTACAGTTGATCTTCATTATTCCTGGTTTCTGTATTTGCAAACTTGTCTGTTCACTAAAATGTATTTGTAATCCTAAAATCAACACTTACAGCACGTTTACCATCATTCCACAGACATGAGCAAAGCAGCAAAACTTTGTCACCCTATGAGCATCTTGCCAGCTGAAGTCAAACAAGGCATTGCTCTGCCTTCTTGTTTCTACTTTATGAACACAGATTGGAGATAGTAGAGGCCGTGCAGTGCAGTGCAAGATGCTTCATCTTTGGGATCAATTGGGGGGCATTTTAATCCCAACTCTAGCACCTGTTAGTGAGGTGGCCTCAGGCACTTAATGCTTTAGAACCTCAGTTTTTCTTTCATAAAATAAAACAGAATCTACTAGTTGCAAGCATTAAGGATTATAACCTATAATCTATGTGAGATTTGTATATCTATGTATGTGGGTATATCTATGTACATGTGTGTACATGTGTGTACACACACACACACACACACACACACGTGTATGTCTTTAAAAACAAAAGGTCTGTGTTCCCTAATTTAGTGTTCATCATGACTATAGAACATAACTACCATGAATAACAAGGATCCACTCTATATTGTATAGCATTGGTTAAGAGTCACCATCAAGCCAGGGAGCTCTAATGGTAACCATGCTGTCCAATCCAGACCAACTGAGATTCAACCATGCTTGCACTATATAACAAATTTTCATATACATTTTATGAGGGACATAAAGATATTTTTTAAAACACATATGCAAAGTCTTGCCCCAGGTAAGAAATTTAGCAGGGAGGAGTTGAGTTCAACAAGAAAACAAATAAATGCAAACAAGAAAACAAAGCAAGGTAGAAATAAAAACATATCTTTTTTTTTAGAAAAAGATATGTAAAAGGTACGTAAAGTTATAAGTCAGATATTTCCTGCTAGGCCCTGCTCCCACATTCATCATGTATTTATTGAACACATGTCACATTTCATCTTGCATTAGAGTAATTTTTTTTAGATTACTTATTCCTTTACAATGTCATAAGCTACTTGGGAGTAATGAGTAGATTGTTCATGTCTTTCAATTCTCCTTAACATTCAGTGCAATAGCTTGCACATTGTAAATATCTAATGTTTGTTGAGTGAATGAAAGATTGGATGAATGTGGCCACCCACTGTAGTTATCTAATGTTCTCCCTACTCCTTTTTCTGAGTTTCTCAGAAACAAACTAGTTGAGGGACCAGCTTTTGATGAATTAATGTAAGGGAGAAAATGTATTACCATTTATGATGCACTTTTAATTATTATTTATTTTTATTTTATTCTGTTAGTGGGACTATACATGCTTTAAGTCAAAAAGAGGAATAATGGGGAAATTTATGAGCTAGTATCCCCATTGACTTCGAAGTCAGACGAAGCTCGTCCTATGTGTGGATTGATAGGCTAATCTGTGGGTAATATCTGATTTGGTCTACTGAGTAAGATTTTCTGGCCTTCTTATTTTAATACATTCTGAAATATTTCAAACATACAAAAGAATACAGGGAATTCAAATACTAAAGTTTTGTCAAACTTGCTGTAGTTTGCTGCTGGCCTTTTAGGGCCTTACCACAGGTTATCCGTCTTAGGTGTCAATTAAATAATTGGCCCAATTAATTGATTAGTTGCTAGAATGAGCCTTATTCTCTTTCCTTTCTACTCAGAGATGACAGCTATCCTGTTACTATGTATTTATGTATTTGAGAATAATATATAATATTCTTTTACATACTTTAAGCTTTAAATAGTATTTGCTGTACCTAATTTTCTGTGACTTGTTTTGCCAAAAATTTTGAGATTTATATATGTTGATATTTTGGGTTTAGGTCCTTTATTTTCACTAATGTATACAATTTGAATTTCTGAATACATCATAATTAATTTATCAATATCTATTGATGGACATTTAGGTTGTCATAGTTTGGGGTTTTTTTGGTTACTAATAAATAACCAAATTATTACACAAATCATTGTTTTAACATGATTTTGTGTAATGACGTAAGAGAAACCTATCACTACATTCAATAGAGTAAAACTGGTAAAATATGTATAAAAATATATAGCAAAATAAAATATTAACTTCCAATAAGAATAGGGTAGATCATTTTTTAATTTCTCTGTCCTATGAAACTGTCAGAATATTTACTGAGACTTCGTCTTCTGAAGAAACATAAAATACTTTTACAGTTCAATTTTAAATACACTAGGATCAATTTCTTAAAAAGTGATCATTGTGAATTGAGGGACTGTATTATGTGCGGTGATCATAAGGATGGCCTTTAAATCAGATAGCAACGGGCTCCTGGATCTGCTACTAATTAGCTAAGAGGCCCTGGCCAAGGTAAAAATTAACCTCTTCAAGTCTGAGTTCCTCATGAGTAAGAAGGGGATAACTGTTGAATCCACTTCATAGGGTTGTAAATGAGACATAAATGCATGAAAACTGAGGAATTTTTAATATACTAAGGAAGCATCAATAAATAGGGGGAAAATTGTCAACAAATTTGAGACTTTCTGTTTAGGCATATATTTTTTTAAATTTTAGTACTTTAAATAAGCCACATTTTTACATTTGATTTGGATGACTGCTATTATTATAGTAGCAACTTCTGAAAATTTTGGGGGGTCAATACTATAGTTCTCCAAACATACAACATGTAAAATGGGATATTTTTGTAACCTCAGGAGCTAAACATCATTCAAATTTGAAAATCCATCATGGCATGCAGAATTCCAATCCTGTGCAATTTGCGTTAAAGTAGCACATCAGTGGGAAACAGGAGCTTCTTTATCCTTAACACAGGGATTTCTAAGTACAAAAAAAGGAGTGTTATTTTGTTAATAACAAAACAAGTATTTGATATCAGTTGTGCGAAGAAAAACTTTTGGAAATTGCTGTAGAGTACTTGAAAATTAGGTTGAATAAAACATGATGATGGACTTTTAAGACCTCACCACAGGTTCTCTGAGTTAGGTGTCAAAACAGTGCATTTTTAACACCAAAAGGAACTTGCAAAGACTCATTCATGCTGTGGCCCACTATGATGCTGCAGAAGAGTCAGCATTATATACACTTTACAGAAATGGGTTTGTGTAGCTGAATCTTCGATAAATGCTAGAGTTCTGGAACAGGAATTGGATTGGTCTAAGCTTGTCTTTTGTATATTAATGTGCTTTCACAGCAAAGGTATGTGAATTAACACAGACTAAAGTATTTTCAAGGAAAGACATTTATCTCCTTATAGCCTTCTGTGATGGATTGTTCAGAGCTAAAGACACACTAGGCCAGAACCAAATCTCCTGCTGCCCTATATAGTTTTTACAATCTCCTTTTAAGTAACACAAAGTCAGGGCAGTCTCACTGCCAGACCAACACTTCTTTAGCAATCTTCCCATAATATACAGGATAGAACCATCTCTAATACAAATCAACACTTTATTTTCAAAGTAAGCACTTCAAAAGGTTGCTTGAACAAGAAAAGACACATTTTTTGAGCTGTGTGTTATTTGACAGTTAACATCACATTGCTCTGTGGATTACGTTGCACTGAATGTTATATTTTAGTCTGATGCAGTTTAAGTTGAACTGTGTAAACAGTGATAGATGTTTGATTAGTGTTAATATGCAAGATGCTGTGATTAGGTATGATTATTTTTTTAATCACCACACTCTCTTTTTGTAATCTTCCTTTGATCTCTAACAGACAGTGAGAAAAAAACTGTAATTTAAAATATATTGACTTTGAGTCATAAATTAATTTTTGCATTGCAAATTTATTGATATCTATAATATATAGCAAGATGGTAAAATAACTTGTCTGCAAAAAAAGATGTAAACTTCTATCCCTTTTACAAATTGTATCTAATGCCATTTTCTCTTTTAAATTCTTGAATCTTAATTTCAAATAGGAAACCTATAAGCAAAATTTTATGAAAACATTTGAGATACAGCAAGGAAGTGAGGTAGTTTCATCTGAATAATCATAGCTGAACTCATATGAATTTTCTTGTCCTCATATTATCTTGCTTTTTTTGATAAGCATGGGATTGGGAGCCACCTTTTTGTTTGTTTTCCAATGCATACAATCATTCTTACAGAGTTTGTATCTGTTCTGCTAGTTTACTGCCAGTTTCTTAAAATATTTTCTGCTATTGGGTTTTAAAACTGAAACAGATTAATCTTCTATTGCTTGAAGTGATTGAAGACTATTAATAAAGTATAAATTTCACACCTAACATTCAGTATTTTTAAATAATTTACTGTGACATGTTTCTAAAACTGTGTATTTTAATAAAGCCTGCTTCCATGTAAATGTATATAAAGTCAGCAGATGCATTTCTCAATAATCTTATAATCAGTTAGTTTACTTGTCATCTCACTTCAATCGATGATTTTCCTATGGTAACATTTAACTTACCTGATGCTAGTCATTATTAATGTATTTCTGTAGATTGTAAAACATCTAGTTATCACACTGTCTATGTTAGCTTGTTCCAGCTCATGATTTATTTTCATTTTTTCTAGGATATAGACCTGCAGCTAACTGGATTTGATTTATAAGAGAGAAATCTGCAGTCAATGCCCACTCTTGCCACACTGCTAATATGGAAAACAGAATGTTCAATAGGATATGGTCTGATAAATAGTGATGATTGAAGATGCTGCTCCAATACATGTGAAATCAATGGGAGATATCTGCTGTCTGAAGATCTTTCAGAGCTTTTCTCGACAAGCTCCCCTGTAAGAAATCGGAGGTATATTCTACCATTATACAGTCTTTCTCAAGTGGATATAAATACGTTTGCCTCACTGTAACCAGACAACTAGACAACTAATGTGGGACCATGGCACTGCCCAGATGCACGTGGCCAAATTATGTTTGGAGAGCAGTGATGGCATGCTTGGTACACCGGGGATTGGGTGCCCCATTGACTCTCTGTATGTTGGGATGTTTGCTTCAGGCTGGCCATGTGCTATCACAAAAATTGGATGATGTGGACCCACTGGTGGCTACCAACTTTGGAAAGATAAGAGGGATTAAGAAGGAACTCAATAATGAAATTTTGGGGCCTGTTATTCAATTTCTTGGGGTTCCATATGCAGCCCCACCAACAGGGGAACGTCGTTTTCAGCCTCCAGAACCACCATCTCCCTGGTCAGATATCAGAAATGCCACTCAATTTGCTCCTGTGTGTCCCCAGAATATCATTGATGGCAGATTGCCAGAAGTCATGCTTCCTGTGTGGTTTACTAATAACTTGGATGTGGTTTCATCATATGTGCAAGACCAGAGCGAAGACTGCCTATATTTAAATATATATGTCCCGACTGAGGATGGTGAGTTTATTGCAGGAAAAACAGGGAGATATATTTATATATTTTTTCTATTCTAAGTTCTAACAATATTAATTCATGTGTACTGGTAGTATGCATGGCTTTTCCTGTTGGCATGTAGACATATTTTACATGCGTGCATGGTGCTCTTTTTGTTTATGTGTGTCAGTGTATCTGTACTTATTTTTTTCCTGTGCTTACTCATTTTCTTTCCTCCACAGCACGTATATTTAGGTAGAAATGGGTTTCTAATTTCCATTTCCTACCAAATGACTTCTGAGAAGATGCATCAACATTTCCTCATTGCATGTGCAGGCTCAACGAATTGGGGATCTTTCGCACTCAGTAAATGCAGGAGCGTATTGAGTTAGATAGTGGTGTTGCATGTTCCGGCGGTCTATGATGGAGCGCCATGTTATTTTCTAGTCTTCTATTCATTTTTCAGTAAAAAGAATATCCAAGGAATGTGCCAGAAAGCCCGGCAAGAAAATATGTAGAAAAGGAGGTATGTATAAAAGTGGAAATTAAAAATGGGGGAAAAAGCTTGCAGAGGAAGAACAAGATACTCTCCCTAAGGATGATTTGCTGATGCTGGGAAGTAAATGGTTAGGTGATGTTTGGAATCTGATGAAGGCTGTCAAGGAATATAAAGGTGTTTAAGGAGAGCTCTAGCTGAGTAGATTACATTGGCAAAGCTCATTGGTTGTGCCTTGTGTTCTGGTGCTGGTAGCATCGGCAAGAGTTGAATCTTGGCTTTGAGTTTGTGTTTAGTGGAATATGTACTTAGGCTATTATGATACCTGCAAGGAACCAAAACAATGCTGTCTTAGGAACTGGTAACTTTGATCTCTGAACTCTTTTCTACAGATATATATTTGTGTTCCTCTTAGAATTTGATCACTCAATCACAAATCTAGTTGTTTTGTTTATTCTCAGCATTCCATCTGAACACTCTATGGACTTTCTCATCCTAAGGATAAATTTTCCATAATTATTGAGCAATTATTATTATTAAGGTAATAGTGTTTTTTTCTTAGTCTTTTCATTTTCAGTCACTTTTCCAGAGGAGAATGAGATTTTGCAGATTTGATACTAAATATTTACAGTCTTAAAATTACTTTAACATTTTTATATTTACGTTAAACAATTTAAAACATAGAGAAGTGCATGATTCAGAAGCTACAATTAAATCAACCTTCAAATCATCCTCTAGCCAGATTGAGCAAATGTAGACACTGACAGCTGCAAGCTTGCATCTGAATGTAGCTTGTCCACACTCCACTTTTATATAACATTCAGTAAATCACTCATAGGAGAGTATGCTTTTCTATGGCAGTAAATCATCTAAGTGTTATTTTGACCTTGTTCATAACTTTGTAGAATTTCCAATCTTCATACAGAAGTCATATTAATATTCTAATGCTGCACATTCTATCTCTCTATGCACTTCTAATATCCTGGCTGGACCAAGTCAGATTTCATTATAGCATCCTTGTGGGGCAGGGAATGTCTAAACTGTTCTGTTCTACTGGGATTGCATTTATATGGAAGACACTTTATAAATAACAAAATTCATAACTCAGTTCAGAATTATTTGCATTAAATTGAGGGTTTTTTTGTTTGCTTTGTCTTTGCTGTTATTTCTTGGGTAATACTGGTAGAGTGGGATTTAACCTTCATTCTTTATTGATGTTATGAATTGGGTTAAAAGCACACTATACTTAAGAAGATGGATATGGAGGCAATAAGGGTGTTTTAAATGACTAAAAAAGTCTCTTTTTTTCTGCAAATGAAAATAACTGCAGTAATTTACATACCTTTAATTAATGTACAATACTGCAGTAGTTATTATGATGCAGCTTATCAAGCATGTGTAATTAGCTAAGTGACTTTCGCCTCCTATTACAAAGATGTTGATTCACAAAGTCATAAATAAAGATGCTATTGAAGAATGCATAGAGCATAATAAATAAAAACATGTATGATGAAGAAAAAGATAAGAGCACCAAAAGGTAAGCTAGTGAGTGAGAAAGTGACCTTTCTTCTCATACAACTTTAGAGGATAAAAGATTTATTAGAAAATTCTTTTTCATTGTTCTTTGTATTGTTGGTTCCATTTGCTTTAGTAAGAGAGTTGGCAAAGAGATGTGTAGGCAATGCTATTTACCTTCACAAACTCTGAACTAAGTAATAATTAGAATGAGGACAACATCTATCAATGCCCACTTGAGCTTGTATGGTTTACAGTTTAAGTCGGTTGTGCTTATTCATACTATTAACTATGCATTCTAAAAATCATTTTGGCTTGGGAATTTAATATATCCAATTATTATTATTAAATACATTCTGCTCATTTATTAGCTCTTTGTACATTATCCTAAAGTCTAAATAACAAAAATTTTTGATGTAATTTTATTATATAAATAGTATTTTTAAAATAAACAAAAACTAAAGTTTAGAGTTTAGCTTTTAACTAGAGGAGTAGAAATCATTTTTCCGAACTTTTACCTGTTTTTTTAAATTATTTTTCTACCATGAAGGGGCTATTTTGGTTATTTCAAGATACCATATTTTGGGAGTCAAGAAATTATTAGTCCCTTTATATCTGTTTATATATATACTAATATATACTGCATGTGGACTGTGAGATTTTCAGTAGAATGCCAAGAGTGTATAAATGATGGTTTAGGAACTGTGAGAATAGTTGCTTTGCCAGGACTTTATGAATGATGGTTCAGGAACTGTGAGAGTGGCTGCTTTGCCTTTTATCTAGATGCCATTAAAATCCTGTCTTGTTATTATTTATTCTTTTATTATGTATGGATCACCTGCAGAGACAGATGGACTCCCATCCCTGAGCCAAGTACTCTATAATCTGTGCATATTGTATTCATGCAAAACTATTTCCTAATTGCCAATTACAAGCCACATACTATTCAAGTCAGTCCTCTTCCCATAGAACTTATAATCAAACAACTTTACAAAGAGCAAAGTATTTTCTGTACTTTGTTGTGTATAAAAGAAAAGAAATCTTATCCCTCCTCCAAGAGATGTTGTTCTATAATTTTTAAATAGAGCATTTACAATATTTTCCTGCAATTAAAGAAAAAAGCTCATTTTTATCAATAGGCTGCCTTCATTTTAAAACGGGTCCCAGTTGTACTTTTTAATCTGTTTTTTAATATTTCCCATGATAGTTTTAGCCATATGTTAATTAACCTCTAGATCTTTCTTCAGAGTTTTATCCTTACAAAATGGAAAAGAAGAATGAATTCTTAAAATGAGATGATTTTCAACACTTGAACAAACAGGCAGATAACATGATAGAAACTGGAGTTTGGTTGTGGAGAACAGACACCTGGTTTTATATATTAGGTGTTTTGCGTAATTTATCCATTTAATCATCATAGCAACATTAGGAGAAAAGTATATTACTCTGTCTGTTTTTTAATTTTAAACTTTTTATCTCTATTTTACAAGTAAGAAGGTAGACTCTGAAAAGTTAGGTATTCCAACCTTACCACTGGCTGCTAGTTAGTGGTAGAGGCAAGTTTGGCCTTAATTCTTTTTTACATTAGATAGATTTCCGTTATGTTAAATTACCTCCTGTGATGATTTCCATAGCAGAGACTTATATCTATCCATCCTTCCTCTCTCTCTTTTTTCCTTCTTTCTTTAACACATTCAAATATGTCATGAGTTCTTTTTATTCTATCAGTTGACCGTATTTTAGACAGACTTAATGCTCACCTTAATTGAATTGAATCAAGCTAATGTTAGCAGCCAATTTCCAAAAATATATTCAGTAATCATTTAGTGAATACTTTAAACCTCAATTACTTTTGCGCCAATCTAATAATACCACATGCTTCTTACTGTCCAGATTAAGATCCCCACATATTCCTCCTGGCTGCTATCAAGGAGTTGCTTTAACTTGCTTAAGTTTCCCTCTGTTTCTTTAGGTTGCTCTCCTGTGAGAGTCGCTAACAAACAAGAAAGTGGTCAAATATTAGACAGTAAACATGAGAAGGAGAAACAAAGGACCCAGAGAGGATTCACAAACACATTGTCTGGCTCATGGATTCTCTAGAGTTGTGTAGTCTTGTGTTTCTCCAGCACTTTTACTATTATTTGCATAGCTCTTCTAAGATGGATACAGAACTAATTTTCATTCCTGCACTTGTGAGACATTAACTTGCTTTTCTATTTACCCCAATTTGTATTGTGCAGAAGATTAAAATCTTTGTATATGACTCTGGTACAGTCATTTACTCTTTGAGCATTTTGGTCGTGATTTTCAAAAGTGTTTTACGTGCTCTGGTTCATGGTCTTTACCTGAGATAATATTGAATTCTTTCAAGAGCCTTTTCCACAGGTTTTTGGTTTGTCTGGTTGTCTATTTAACATAGGGACTGATTTTTTCCTAATTTAATATGTATAACAATGACTCCTAGTACTGTCAAGGTTTTTAAGACTCTAAAAGGGGATTATATTCCAGAATGTTCTTCCTTTTTGCTTATACATTTCTCACTCATTTACTTATTCATTTGACAACTATTTATTGAGTACTTACTCTGTGCTGAGTATTGCTCTAGGTACAGAGTAAATAAAAGAAGACAAAAACCTTTCCTGCTTGTATAAAGCTTACAACCTAGTGGTAGAGACAGTTTGTAAATGATGAACACAATAAAAACTAAATTAAAAAGGTGTGAGAGGGTGAGAAATTGAAACAGAGTATGAAAGACCAAGAGTGCTGGTATGGAGAGTGAAAATAGTTAAAAATAAAATGAAGACTACCTCATTCGAGCAAAGATCTGAAGGAGATAAAGTGAGTATCTAGAGAAAGATATTTAAGGAACAATTAGGAATATAGCAGATCTGGAAAGGGGGAAAAGAGAGAGAGACAGAATAATCTGACTTGATATTTTTAAAAAGTCACTCTGGTGGATGTATTGAGAGTAGGTTGTAGGAGAGCATGGAGAAATGGGGAGAGTAAGAGGAGGCTCCAGGTAAGACTTGGTCATGGTCCAGGCTCAAACCAGGGTAGTAACCACGGAAGTGATAGATTCTTCATATATTTTAAAGATCACATTCCTTGATCAATTTGCTGTGGGCTGTGAAAGAAAAGAAGAAGTCAAAGAAGATTACTATGTTTTTTATCTGAATACCTGGAATAATAGATTTGCCATCAATTAAGATGGAAAGGAAGAAGGGTTACGGGAGAAGCAGAGTACAAAAATAAGTTTAGTTTTGGACATGTTTAATTTGAGGTGACCCTTAGACATTCAAGTCAAGACATCAAAAAGCCAGTTTCTTGAACCAATATCTTGAATTAAGGTAGAGAGAAAGGTCTATGTAGAGATATAAATTTGGCAGTTACTCTAATATAGAAGGTAAAGATTTCAAGTCATGAGCTTGAGAGAGAATAAAAGGAAGTGAATGAAGATAACAAAAGAAACAAGACAACAAGGTTTAATTTATAGGAACATTCCAACATTATGAGGTCTGGAAGAAGAGAAGGACAGCAATGGAAACTGAGAAAGAATTATGTATGAGGTGGTAGGTAAACCAAGATTTTTTTTGTTGGCCTGGAAGTTAAGTAAGGAAAATGTCTCCAAGTGGGCATAGTGATCAACTGTGCCAAATTAACTTTTGTGGGGTGGTGTGGGTTTTACACACTGGAGTGTGTCTAAGAGAGAATGGGTGAAGATTTGGAGTGGCTTAACATAAATAATTATTTTAAAGAGTTTTGCTTTTTAAAAAGGCATCAGAAAAATACGAGAAGTGAGGAAAATAGAGGTTGCTTTTGTTACGGTAGGTTAAGATAGAAGAAATAAAGAAATATTTTTATACAACAGCAAACGAACAATATTAAATACAGGCAAAAGATGGTAGAAATTCTGGAACAGTATCCTTCAGTAGGTGAGAAAGGTGGGATTTGCAGATTTTGAATTAAAGGAAGGAACGTGGGTAGAAAAATTAGTATGTTGCTATGCACAGTACATGAGTGTGAGTGCATGGGCAGAAGTATAGTGGGGTTCTGCTGTTATCTGATTCTTTCAATTGTTTGATGTGTAATGTTAAGGAAAATGAAGATAGAATTAACATCAGTGAGATCTTCCTATGGTCTAGACATCATGGCATATTAATTTATTTGATATCGCAACAGCCTCGTGAGGTTCTCACCGTCACTTTCCAGATGTAGAAATGGAGGAACAAAGAAGTTAAATTATCTTGCCCAAAGATTCATAATTTGTTGTTGGCCAACTGTTTCCTTTGAAAGAGTTATTTTAGAATGGAGGAACTAAAACACAACAACAAAAACAGCACAAAGCAACAATAAAAATCATGTTTATATGGGATTTAAGATCACATAGAAAATGAAATTGGTGGCCAATTTGCTAGTAGAAAAATCACCACACACTGAAATAATTAAAACGCCTAGTTCACTTAGAGTTTGAAGATGAATGTAAAACTATATTGAACCAGAGATTTGGCTTCATATTTGAATTAGTAACTGTGGACAGATGTGGTTATGTCTTCTAAAAGCTAAACAGTGTAAGTTGGGACTCTGAAATGAAGTAGATCTAAAGGGCTGTAAAGTTTTAAAAGAACAACATCAGTTGTTCCATTGTTTACTGACAGACAGAGACAGTCTCCTGAAGCAGATGATTAAAAGACCATTATAGTTGTCCAATTCAATTTTTCCAAAGAATAAATACTTTTTTTCTTATAGAAACTGGGGTTGAAGTTGAAAACATTTAAGATTTATGCCACCAGCAGAAAGAGTTATGCTAGAAAATAAATTCTTGGTAAAAACTGCTATCCTTTCTCCTACCGTATGTAATATCTTTCCTTATTTATTCTTTTCACATATATGGCATTCGATGAGCTTAATAATTAGAATGCAATGGTTTTTTTTTAAGTTGAGTTCTATATTACTCACCATTACACATTTTGTAGATAATATTCTGGTCTTTAATATCTCTCCTATGAATACTCTTCTCCTTCTTCCTCTCCTGGCAGGACATGCTAACGTAGTTTAGGACATGGCAGAATTCGAACGTCACACCAGTATAGACGTTTGCTAGTAACAATTCCGGAGAATCATTCTGAGTTTGATCACCTTAAACTCTGGACAAGTTGTAGAAGCATAATTTCTAATCATAAATCTTCACATAGCCTTTTATAACTGGACAGAGTACTTTATGTAACACTTCTTGTATAAGTTGCCTAGGCTGCTGTAACAAATTATCACAAACTGTGTGGTTTAAAACAATAGGGATTTATTCTCTCAAAGTCTGGAGTCAAGAAGTTTAAAATCAAGGAGTGGGAAGGATTGGCTCTTTCTGGAGGCTCTACAGGAGTACCTCCCTGCTTTTTTCTAGTTTCCAGAGGTTACTAATAGTCCTTGCTGTTCCTTGGCTTGTAGTTGCATCACTCCAATTTCTAGCTCTGTTGTCACATAGCTTTCTTTCCTGTGTGTCTCCCTACATCCCCATGTCTTCATGCGGTCTTCTTACACAGGTGCTGGCCCCTAGACTTAGGGCCCTTTCTAATCCAGTGTGACCTCATCTTCATTATATTTACAAAAGCCTATTTACAAATAAGGTCATTGTATCGCTTTGGTGAATTGCTGTAACAAAGTACCACAAACTGGGTAGCGTAAACAGCAGAATTGTTGTTGTTTTGCAGTTCTGGAGACTAACAAGTCTGATATCAGCACATGGGCATGGTTGGTTCTTTCTGAGGGCTGCGAAGAAGAATCAGTTCTGGGCCTCTCTTTGTGTCTTATCAATGGCTGTCTTCTCCCTGTGTCTCTTCACATGGCCTTCTGCCTGTGTATATGTCTGTGTTCCAATGGTCAATATTTTAGAAGGATACAAGTCATATTGGATTATGGCACAACCTAATGACCTCAACGTAATTAATTATATCTGTAACGATCTCATTTCTAAATAAGGTCACATTTGAGGTACTCAGGTTAGGACTTTAACATATAGAATTTTGGGGAGACACAATTCAACCTATAACTGTCACATCTGAAGGTTCAGCTGGACATAAGTTATTGAAGGACACTAAGGACATTGCCACTTTTTTCCAAACTAATCCTCAGAATGATCCCAAATGTTTCTATCATTATGTCTATTTTAAATGTTGAAAAACTATAGCTTATTGGGGTTAAATAAGTTGCCCAAGTTCACATGACTGTTAGGAGTACTGAGACTCCTATTCAAATCAAAACTCAATGTGATAGCTCCCTTTACCACGATGACCCTTCCTACAGATAATGAATTTTCTGTGCCCTCCTGAGAAGTTCTTTTAATTTGTTTTTTGGTATTTTTCTATCAAGATAGGATACGATGCATTAGTCCATATGCTTTTATAAATCCAAGTGTTTGACTTTGTGTCAACAAAATGATTCAGTTTTTTGATATATTTCTTGAATTTTAAACATTTTATCCAGATGGTTGCTTATATGCAAACATGGTTTAAGTTAAAATGAAGATCCTACCAATTTAAAACTGTAATATTATTGCTTTTCAGTTCTGTTCCATTTGTTACTTTAGGGAATTGAACAACGTTATTTTTAAAATAATTTTTAAGTTAAGACCTAATTCTTTGTTTACTATAATCCTATTCATTTGGTATCTATGAAATGATACCACTAAAGCAATTTAAGCATAGCTCATAATTTTCATGAAAGCCTGTAAAATGTTGCAAAAATCAGATTTAAGCAATGACGAAAAGAAAATAAAAGGATCTGGAGTCATTGTAACCATAATTATCATTTTTAAAAGTAGAAAAATCTGATTAATGAACAGTGGTCCTAATTTTTTGGTCCCCATTGCAGGAATGAAGGAGGGAGTCTTCACTTTCCTTTTCTTCTTCTTCTTTTTTTTTTCTTGAGGCAAAGATCTTTGGAGTAGTTATTCCACTTAAAAAAAAAAAAAAAGACCATATCATCTCCTAGTCTTAGAAGCATATAAAAACATCTGCCTTTTCATCTTACAAAAGTGCTCACATTTTCTTTTCTCCAAAAGGTTTGGGGCTCCTCTTCTAGAGTCTTCTTTCTGAGTTCCCCTAATTGGAAAGTGAAAGAAGGAAGAGCAGGGGTAGAGGGATAAGTATGAGCAGGGGCAGGGGGATAAGTATGAACAGGACAGGTTGACACTAGGACAAGTAATGTAACCCTGTCGAGTAGTAGTAACTATAGCTACTCTCAGTAAAGGAAGAGGGATCCCTGGTTAAAATTATTAAAAATATATATGTGCTTCCTAATTTGGACTCCTAGGCCTCTTGGGAACAGGTATGTTCTGTGGAGGATCTCTAAAAAGAAGAATGCCTGCAACATCCTCTAACTCTCCATCCCTGCTAAGTTCCCACAAACCATCTTCCTCAGCTCACCATCTTTCTCAGCGCACCATCTTTCCTGACAATGAGCAGGCCAGGCCTCAGTTTGCAATTCTGAGCTTTCATTAAAGAGAACTGATATGTTGCTTTGGCACAGTAATTTACAAGGAGGCAGATCCTGAGGTTTCTGAGCTCCTCCAAGCTAGGCAGCCAAGCAGCCTATCAGTGCTTCTCTTGACCTATCCCCAACTTCCCACCAAAGCAAACACCCACACTCCCACACACACCCACTTGGACAGCTTCCTCATCCCTCACACATATGTATATGGAGACACCACCTACAATGGAAAGATTTCTTTCCTTTTCTTCACTTTTCTTCTCTCCTTCCTTGATTTCTTTCTTCCAGAGCAAAGGGAGCTTCTGTTGCCTTATTAAAATGTTTGGAAGTCATTCATTTAAGGAATAACTTCATTTCAGTGAAAATGGAAATATTTATAAATTTGCATTCTGAGGAGAAAATATTTCCTAAAATGGCCGCTTAAATGATTTTGTATTCCAACTGACTCTGAAAGGCCAGAGATGAGTTGTTTTTTTTTCTTCTGTATTTATTTTATGAAATTCTTTGGCCACCTCCGCAGTTTAGCAAAGGGTGTTCTTATAGGGGTAGAGGGGAAGAAAACATAAAACTTTGTATAATATTTACTGGGGCCTCAGACTATCATCAGGTAGAAACTTTGACTATTGCAAGTGGTGCTTTTATCAATTAATTGATTGATTGATTGTTATTCTTTTTGGTGTTGTTGCTTTGCTGGTGTTGTGTCCTGGAGGCCCTGCCTCAGGTTTCCCAGTTTGGCTGTTTCCTGTCTCTCTCAGCCATGGCCTACTATGGACAAAGTGCCCCATCTGGCACTTTGGGAAAGAGATGTTCTTTGCCCTCAGAGGGTTTATTTACATTGCAAGAAAAACCTCAGTAACAAGAAATAGGGCTTTTTTTGTTGATGTCCGTGTCAATATTACTAAGTAAATGTAAGTTTGATATGTATTAAAATCTCCAAAAAACAAAATGAGGAAATAGCTGCTTCTGTAAAGAAAGAAAAGGTAATGATGCTGATATTTGGCACTGTGTTCCCCATAATAAAACATTTAATTAAATCTTTAAACTGTGTATAGAGCACAAAATATGCACATCAGAATAAAACACATCAGGCATAACCAAAACTATAATTATATCAGCCCTGTTGCCTGAGCCCACCTTAGTTGCTCTGCCAAGAAGCAATGGTTTAAAACTTTCCATCCATCTGTTTTTTTTTTTTTTTTTTAAAGCCTAAAGTGTACCTATACAAATCTCTTTAAAGCTGGGGAATGCTTTGGCTACTGATACAACAGCTGCTGGATTACAGGCTGTTGCTTCCAGAAGTAAAAATGAACAGCTGATGTTCTAGGGCTTTTTCTCACTTTTGTTGGAAGTCTTCTCAGTGCAGAGCCCTGGGGTAGGTCCTGGAGATACTGAGATAAAAAAAGGCATTAAAGAGCTGCCCTCAAAGAGTTCACTGTCTTGTGGGGGAGGCAGATACAGAAAGAGAAAATAACAATGTAGTAAGCACCCTGAGGAAAGGAGGCAAGGGGCATTGAGGGAACACACAGGAGAGGTATCTGTGGTTTGAGATTTTGAAATAGAAGTTACCCCTTACATGAGCACTCACGGATAAATACTGTAGTCTCTCAATACCTTCAAAGGCTAATGTAGTCTATGGGACCATATTTCAGATATTAAAATATTTTTGAGTGCTTTTTAAAAATATGTGTGTGTTCTCTTTTTTTGCATGGATATCAGTTGTCTCTTCTTCCTAATCTCACTTTGCCAGGATTTTAGAAACACTATCTGCTCACTTCTGTAGTCCTGAATCTGATCTGTCACCCACACTTGAGACACGCAAACAAACAGAAAAACTTGTTTGTGAAAAAAACTGGACTCAAAATGAGAGTTTTCACCATCTGTAACCCATGGGAACTTAAATATATAGACTTTGTTTGATGGTAATATTTTTTCAGTTTTATGTTCTGAATAACAGGCCGCTGAAGATGTAGGCTTCAAATAAGTGAGGTATTACTAATTGGGAATCTATAGAAGCCAACCCTCCCGACATGAGGAGACCTTTCAGGGCTGTGTACAGGCATTGCTTACTCCCGACATTCAGGACACCTGCAGACACCATCCTTCTTCCCTGGTGCACGCTCTCCTTCCTTCTCCATTTCTCGCATCCTGATCGAGAGCCTCCATCATTTCTTGCCTCAACCACTGTAATAGCCTCTTAACAGTTCTTCCTATTCCCATTCCTGCTTCTGCAATCTCTTCTACACATAGCAGCCAGTGTGATCTTTGCTTTAAAGTCTGAAATCAAATTATATCACCTCTTTCTTAATTCCCCTCAAGGATTCTCTATTGCTTTTTAAATAAATGTAGAACTCCCTACTATCGCCTAGAACACTCTGTAAGACTCTACGTAGTAACTCTTGTCTGCCGTTTCAATCTCCTTCTGTATATTTCTCCCTTCTCTCTACTTTCTAGCTTTGTTGATATTCTTTTTGTTCCTGGAATAGTCAACCTCCATCCTACCTCAGGACCCTTGCACATGCTGATCCTTCTACTTTTAATGTACCTCTACCTCTTTTCATGTCAGACTAAGTTTTATAATTCAAGTTTTGGAAAAATGCCACCTTGTCAAAACAGCCTTTGCTGATCAACCTATCAAGATAACCCTACCCTTTTCCTCCAGTTATTCTTTGATATCTTTGTGGTTATTTTCTTCATTACATTTGTATCTTCATATGAAATTATTTTGTTCATTTATGTGCTGATATTTACTCTCTCACTGCCCCAGAAGAACGTTTCTCTTGCTCACTGCTATATCTATAGCATTCACAAGGAATTCAATAAACATTCATTGAAAACATAATCAACCTTAAGAAACAATGCAATTTGTTGGAGAGAGCCTTCATCTCCCACCATCTGCATTTATTTGAGTAATACTACACCTGCAGTAATTCCTCACCAGACATAGTAAATTCTGTTCCTTTCTGCTATGCCATCACTGTTTGTTTATGGCGCAGTGCTCCCCAAATGAAGTAAATTTCAAAGCCAACATCAGAGTCTTTAACTAAGAAATAACAGTGTTCAGTGGCTCAGAGTCTGACAGATATAACCTGGACTCTGTCACGGGCCCTCGAGGCCAAGTGGCTGCCAACAGCCAGAGCTCTTGGCTTTCTGCCTGTGCACGTTACTGCCAGCCTTATTGCCTCTGCACTGAATTCATATTTTAATACAGGATGCCGACAATGCATTTGTGTAATAGGAGCACTGAAAATGGTTTTTCTTTAGTAGACACAAGCTTCATTTTTCCTTTCCCACCTTCTATTTTAATCTTTTTCTTCTTATTCAACCCCAATTTCCCTCCCCTGACAAATATATCTTCTAATTATTTTCTTTTTTCCTTGTTTTACCATCTACCTCTGTAAATAGGACTTCTTGCTAACGTTTTCTCCAAGGCATTTAACTTGAGATTATGAGAGGCAAGAAGCCTGAATACCAGATAATCTAAGAAGAGGTCGAATTGTATTTGTTTAAGGGGTTATATAGCATTAAATAGCTTCTCCAATGGCCTGTGTGGGGTTCTCATTCCTTATGATTTGGCCTTCCGTTGGTTATCACCATAAACATATACGTGAATTCAGTGGGTTTTTGTCATTGTTCTTCTTTTCTTCTTTTTTTTAGAGACAGGGTCTCACTCTATCATCCAGGCTGGAATGCAGTTGCAAGATGGTAGCTCACTGTAATCCTTGAGCCCATGGGCTCAAGTGATCCTCCTGCCTCAGCATCTTGGATAGCTAGTACTAGAGACACACACCACCATACCTGGCTATTTTTAAATTGTTTTGTAGAGATGCGGTCTCCCTAAGTTGGCCAAGCTGATCTCTAACTGCTGACTGCAAGCGATCCTCCTTCCTCGGGCTCCCAAAGTGCTGGGATTACAGGCATGAGCCACTATGTCTTTTCTTCTTTTATTAGATATTAGCAACCACAGATTTCCCAGGGCAAGCCAGAAATCACTTTATAAAATGAAGGAAACGAGAGAGTGAGACTATATTATATATTATTTATCACCATAGGCAGAGTGTTTGGAACATGGTTAGTGTCCCCAAAACAGCTGATAAATGAAGGAGCATTTTGAGTATGGTGGAAAATGGGCCAGTTAGATCACTGAGATAAATAGAGTGGCCAGTGGCTTTTCTAGTGGATGGTGGAGGCTGAATCCTGGAGAGTGGTGGTGGAGAGGCATACTAAGAATGTTATTGACCTATAACATCTCAATCTAGGAGTGAGAGATAAAGCTGGCAGTGAGAGATAAAGCTGGCAGCGAGATCAACTGGATCTGTGCCTCAGAACACATTGCAGAGTGATAGAGAAGAGGGTGTTGGATTTCTGGCAGGGCTGGCTTCATGGGCTGGTAGTCTGTGCAGTCCGGCTGATCCCTGAGCTCAGAATGGCCTCACCCTTGGTTAAACAATCTTTTTTCACCGTCTTGAAATTCATAATACTTTTTGAACAAAGTATCCTGCATTTTCATTTTGTACTGGATCCTACGAATTATTTAGCCAATCTTGTTTCCTGGTTTTGCTGGCATTTTCCCCATGGTGCACATCAGTAAATGTTCATGTAATTATGAGAGATGATAGAATAGAAACCCTCTGTGCACACTGAATAATTAGATTAAAACTCTCAACTAAAACACTATGACCACTTGTATTTTTACCCTTACAGTTAGTTCCCTTCACATCTAAGGGGAGCAATGAAAAAAAGACATGTTGTAACTTTGGGAAATAAAAGATCTGTTCCTCTATTATTCTGTTATTCTTGTTTTAACGCACTTGTTCATTATCTGATCAAACAATTATTGAGTGTTTAATGAGTCCTAGGGGCTATGCTGGACCCCGAAGATAAAAACAGGAAGACTTGGTACTTGTCATAGGGGACAATCAAGCAAGGACTCACAAAAATCATTATTATAATAGCTACAATTTGTATAGTGCCTACCACAGGCCAAGCATTGTTTTAATGGCTTTATATATTAACTTACTTAATCTTCACAATAAACTTATGAAAAAGTTACTATTAGTATTTCCACTTTACTAAGGAGAAATATGAGGCACAGATAGGTTACTGTGCAAGGTTCCACAGTTAGAAAGTGGCAGAACCAGGATTCAATGCCAGATGGTTTAGCTCCATTGACTGTGCCCTTAGCCACTCACTATAACAAACATTAGAGATGCTATGGGAAATAAGTAAAATTTACATATGGTAGAATGCTACCCAAGGCAGGGAATGGACATCTCTATCTTGGATGGGAGCTGGAGAGAAAACACTTCATCATGGTAATGATACTTGAAATGACTGCAGAACAAGAGGAAGTGGCCCATCCACTGAGCACAGGATGTGCAGGGATGAGTGGGAGAGGGCTTCTTTAGGTAGAGAACAGCTTGTGATCAGAGAGTACAGTGAGAGATGAGCCTGGAGCTCTAGGTGGGATCCAGATGTCTCCGGAGCTTGGAGTATTTCTCTAGGTGATAGGATGTCATTGAGGGATTTAAGTAAAGGCTTGACATAATCAGATGAGCACTGTAGAATGTTCTTTCTGACAACAGTATAAATGATGGAATCCAAGGATGATAAACCACGATAGGGAATAACTAGAAGTTCAGTACAACTTAGTGTGTCAGTGACAATGAAGGCCTTACCCAAGGCAATAACTGTGGGGTAGAAATAAAGAAATAAAGGGTAAGAGATATCTATTTGGCAGCTTCATAGGGTTTGTGGAGTAATTGGTTGTTATGGGGTGGCAAGACTGTGGAAATAATGGAAACAAGGATGACTCTAAGATGTCTTACTGTCCAGTACCTTCCTCCTTGACCTGATGTCCTTACTTCCCCTAACCAGCCTTGTCTAATGTGGTTTCTTCACTGGAACTCAAGAAGGCAGGATAGGGAAGACAGTGAGTTAGAATAATAAAAAAATAAGTTGGAGGAAAGAGAAAGTGTCAAAATTAGAGGAGAAAAAGGGGGAAAGGCACCAGAAAATAAACAGAAGGGCAGGCTGGAATACTGAACAAATTTTTAATCACTCATATGCCAGATAAAAGGTAAGTTCTTGAAAATAAAGACATCTATATGAATTTATTTTATTGAGTCATCTTTTAAAAATAGAACTTGGGAGAGAGATAAGTATGTCAGAATGAGACAGAGATAGATAACACAGAAGTGGGGCTGGGAAAGAATCATAACTCTGCAGCTTACCCACGGTTGGGGTAAGCTCAAAATTGAGAAGAAAAACATGCAGAGACAGGAAATCATAAACTGTCAACTGGAAAGAAAGCAAAATCATTTAGTTGTAGTGGAAATTGCTAAAAAGAACAAGCAGGTGCATAATCTATGCAGATTTGTATAAATGACTAGACAAATGAACATAAGTTTTCAGAACACTGGTAAGTCAGAAAATGCATATTGATTGAATTCAACGTGTATTTCCGAGCATTTACTGTGTGGCACACCTCATGCTAGGTACTGAATTACAAATCAAGTCTGTACAAATTAGTGACACACAGAAGCATACAAGTACTGCACTTGGGTACTCAAAATGTGATATAAAGGCAGATTACAAATAATCAAATATGTACACTACAAGACTAGAGAGGTCATTAAGGAGGAAGAAATGTTATAGCTCTTCATAAAAATGTAAGAACTCATGAAGTTTAGGTTGAATCAGAAAGGTATCTTAGAAGAATAATATTTGGAATTAACCTTGAGTGATGGATAGACTTTCAACAGGCAGAGATGTAGGGCTTTTGTCTGGTAAGGGGAAAGGCATTACAGTTGGTAAAGTCGGGAGACAGTAAGTGTGCAGTTGATTAGAGCACATAAAATATTGAATTGTGATAAAATATTGATTGTGGTAAAATATCAGAACCCTGGAGGGTCAGGATGAGGCATTTTACTATCAACAAGTATGCATTGATGGTTTTTGGGCAAGGAGCTGTGATAACAAGAGTGGTTTCAGTAAAGGGTGGGCCGGGAATGGGAAGAGTAGAGAATTAATTACAGGAAAGGAGACTAGATATGGGGTAATAGCACTGTAGTTTATATGAAAAGTGACTGGCAGTGGAAATAAAAAGATAACAAATTTGAGAGACATTTCAAAGCAGAAATTAGTAGAATTGGAAAGTGACTGCATATGGGGGTGGACAGTGAACAAGGAGGCCTTGGCAATGTTGACAACAGATTGGAAATGAAATGGTTGGGAGGAAGGTGATGCTGTTAATAAATCCTATTTCCAAATCTACTCTGAGGATAGATTAGCTTGTGAAATTTTCAGCAAAATTGATCATGGGAATGAATTTACCATTCTTTCCTTTATTCTTGTCAATATAAAGGTATAAAAAAGCTATTTATGCCTTTGTAGTGTGTTCAAATAAAATATTAACCTCATCAATTCAAAGAAATGCACTGAAAAATCCTCCTTTCATTTTTTACCAAAGCAGGGAGAAAAGATGATACATCTTACGCACTAAAATTTCTCTATTACTGTCATTTCTGAGCTGTGTATAGCTCTAGATTTCCAAAAGAGAAATGAATAGGGTACATAATCCTTTCTTTTTAAAGGCTACCCACTGCCATAGGCTGTCTGAGTATAATTTTCAATGACAATCCAAGATTGAGGAATGTATACAAGGCCAATTACAGACTCAGCTTGTTTTTTGAGCATTTAACTGTTCTCATCTAGTGCTGTGTTTATCTGCATGGGAGTGGAATGGACCCAAAGAATTTGAAAGCAGTGAAAGCCACATGTCTTGCTGTGAGAAGTACAGATGGGACTGGTTAGGCTGTTTCCTGAGACTCATACACCTAGATCATTAAAACCACATAAACCTCAGAGAGAGGCTGAGAATACAGAATGTGGGACATGAAGTAGAAAAGTATCTAAAAGGAATGGCAAGGACATCTGGAAAGATCAGAGCATGATAGAATGCCCAAATTGCTTTCCGATGCTGACCTGCTGGAAGAAGAAGAAAAATAGTCCCGGTAAAAAGAGGAGGAAAAAAAAAAACCCAAAGCTTATTTTAAGATTCTAAAAAATGAACAGAAGTTTCCACTTGTAAGATGATTATGCTGATGCCAGGACTGCATCGGAGAAGTGGTTTTATTTCACCTTAGGTAGTTTAAAAGGGCAGATATTACACCCATGGCATTTAACATTGCTGAGAACTATTTTTTGTTGCAAAAATTAGGAAAGTAAATCAACAGTTTCCACAATGTGATTCCAATAGAATAATTATTTATTGTTTGATATTTCCGAAAGAACAAAATTACTAACTGACCCAATTACTAAACACAAGTTGCCATACTTCCTGCTCAATAACAAATGTAGGCCTTGGGGAAGCTGCACATAGCCTTCCAGATCATTTAGCAAATAAATTCTTCAGAAATCGTTAACAGAGCTTCTAAATGCATTCTATACCCTCAAGGGAGTGTTGAGTCCCAGGGAACTTCAGCTGAATGAAGAACTAGGCTATGAAACCACAAAGAGCCAGCACCGTGTTTTTTTTCATAATCATTCGACAGCAACATATAGTATTTAGACCCATTCTGCCTCTAAAATGGCCTCTACATAAACCTCGGTGAAGGTTAAGTCATTCTCATGTATTCTGTCCATAAAGCCCTTTGGCATGCAAGTCAACAATACTAGTTGGATGCTTATAGCAGTGGGACCCACTGACTGTGTCAAGGAGTTCAGTCTGATTGGAAAAGAAGTTAGGACAGGTGCATACATAGTGTAAAAATGGGGAAATGTGATTATTTTTGTGAAAAAAAAAAACAGATTGTTGGAGAGTTAAAAGGGAGGAGGAGTAATATCTAATTGTGAATGTGTTTTGGATGAGGTTAAAGTGAACAATCAGAAAATAATGAGAGTTAAGATAGCCTTGAATAATATAGACTTTTTGACAGGTCACTATGGAAGGAGAGAATGTGTACCAACAAGAGAGAATAGCATGGGCAAAGAGAAGCATTGAGATGGGAAAGAACAAGGTTTGTGACCATCACGTGGCTGCAGTTGAGCTGGGGAACAGGTAATAAGTACCAGGAAGGAAAGATTGATTGGGACATATTGTGAAGGGCGTTGAATGCCAGTGTGAGGATTTTAATTTGGTAGGCAAAGGGGAGCTACCAGATGTTTGTGCGTAAGAGAGTGACATGATTAAAAGTGTTTTAGGAAGATTAGTTTGGCAGTTGTCTTTGGTTAGATTGATGATACAAGAGACTGGGTCTTGTGAAAAATAGGCTTTTGCATTTGTGCCATCTGACAAGAAGTTGATCAGGAATTTCAAAAATCTTTTAAATATTTAAATTATCTTGCCGTCCCATTGACATCTATTTAAAAGGCCCCAAAAGATAGGCAATAAATAACTTTATTAGCCTTTTTTCTTTTTTCAAATACAAATAGGAATCCTGGAAGAACATGTATAGAGTTCAGGAGTTGTTCTCCATGAAAGGGGCAGGGCCCTCTGGCTCTAACAACAGGTCAGCTGTTGATAGAGTTCTTGACCCAAGGCTTCCTGTTCTGGCTCTGTCATTCTGTTGCCGTGTATTTGAGCAAGTCATTTTTATCGCTTTGGGCCTCAGTTTTCACTTGTGTGAGATGAAGGTTTGGGCTTCATGACCTTCAGTGTTGCAAGATTTCTCATTTTCAGATTCTTTCTAGGAACAAAGGGAATTGTAATAGATTACAGGGTTAATATTTGACTGCACTTTCTGCCTACTTCACTGACTTTTCAAGAATTCTAGTAAGGAGGATGAGTTTCAAGACTTCACTTCATGCATGGATTTAATGTAGCATGAGCTTGTTTCATTTGTTGCAACAGTTTAAATGCCATCTTTAATGTTTTCTTCTCATGCTACTGCTGCTGTTTTCCCTGTTTCCAAGAAGCGAAACTTTTGCAGATATGCCTGCTCCCACCTCCTACAATGAATTAAGGATACATTAAGGAGACAATTTCTTCTTTATATTTAAGAAGATTTAGAATACAAATTTAAATAAATTAGCTGTGATATGATATTGTATATCTTAGTTTTATCTGTCAGGGAATAATTTGAATCAGCTAACTATACTGTGTAGTAAACAACATGAATGTGAGACAGCTACCACATGCAGTAAGAATGAGCAGAAGGTTTCTCAATTAATTTACTTAATTCTAATAGAAGGTAAATAATATTAGGAAACCAATGGTAGTATTACCCAGACTAATTTATAGCTCATAGGTTTTAAATAGGAAGATGACGATTTATAATTGTTTTTTTTTTTCCTATTTTATCCACTCTCTCTTTATTTATATTTTTTTTCTGGAGGCTTTCAGATAGTTCCTAAAAGACTTGGGATGATGGTGAGAGTCTTCTTGAACTTTAACTTAGTTGACAGTGATTTCATCCATGTCAGTCTGGTCAGACAGATGTGGAGAATGAGTGAGTGAAATATTGTTAACTCTGCCCACTTACCTTTTCCCTGATTTTAACTAGAGAGTCCTCAATTGTTTCTGGATTTACTATAATACATTTAAACAGTACTTAGCTGAGTTTGAGTCATCAAGGAACTGGGGATACCACTGTCAGAAGTCCCACTCTTTTTTAATTTTGCAGAAAAATGGGCAGATAAAGTAGAATGGTAAAGAAGTAAGGAAAGGGACTGACATTTTGTAATCTAGGGAAATTTTTCATGATGTGTATTTTAGACATAAGATGTGTTTTGAGATGTGTGTGTAAGTATTTTATGATTGTACCTAACTATTTCCTGTCCCCTCCCCCCAGCACACGTACCACCACTACCACCATCCTGGTACGTCTGCTTAGATTGCAGCTGAATAAAGAAATTTAGGTTTGCCAGTTGACTGTACTAAATTTGTTTAAATGGTGACATGTGTACATTTACTCATGCTTTTGCACTTTTCCAAATAATTTCCAAGGGCATGTGGAAAAGTGGAGAAAGTCTCTGTCTTCCCCATTTTTCTTTGATAAGACAAGAGGCTTTCAATGTTTGTAATGTTTCAAGTTACAAATCATTAACTGTTTATTAAATAACTTTTATGTACTAGTTATAGATTAATAATAAATTGATATATTATTTACTGATGAAACATTAAGAGATATTAACTGATAAAATAATGAGGTTAAGGAGTATTCGGTTAACTTGGCTAACCTATTCACCTGAATCTGCATAGAAAATCTTGGAATGTTAATGTAATAAGTCTTTATGTAGTCTATAGATACAAATCAATTGACTTTTTATTTAAAACCATATTTCCAGTTTGAAGAGCTCAGTATAAAATTGAAATAAACTTTCTGTTGGGGTATGGACTTTGTTACACTATAAAAGATGATAGAAACAGTTTTGAAATTTAGTGTGATTTTTCTTGTAAAAATAAATACAGCTTTGGTAATTGAGTTTTTATTAGCAACTATATCATAATACATTCAAATGTATAATGTCCCTTCTCTGTTTATAACCTGTATATTAGTGCTATCCAATAGAGCTTTCTGTGGTCATAGACATATTCTATATCTTCTCTGACCAATACAGTAGCGTCTAGCTCCATGTAGCTATCAAGCGCTTGAAACATGGCTAATGTGACTGAGAAACTAATTTGATTTAATTTTATTAATATAAATTAAAATTTAAATAGCTACCTATGATTAATTGCTACCATTTTGGGCAGTGCAGCTGGAAATGAATATTAGTATTACCAGGAGAAAGAGAAAAATCATCTTGGATTTTCAAATATGAGTAAAATCTTATTCTTTACATTTTTATATTTTTGAATTTACAAGATAGTGGCTAGAAACTGTCACAAGAAGGTACTTGTTCAAATAGAATATGTGTGGTTTATTTTTACTTTTAGGCATTTTGAGAATAGGACAATGTAAAATTTATTTTAACTACTTTGAAGTTTTTGCTGAAATTTTGTCATAAATGTTTCAAAATTAAAGCAAAATTCCTTTAGAATAGTCTGTTACATCAAGGGCTATTTTATATATGGCACTTTTGCTAATATTTTTTAGAAATATAAAGTAGATGAGAATTATGTTTTTGTTTCTGGAACTAGTGTTTACTATATTTTTTCCCAGTGATATAGACCAGTGTGGGCCACATACCTAGGCTATTCTAGAACTGGTCCCTGAAAAATGATGTCACCATTTGGAAATATTTTATTAGTTGTTTTTATGACTCTTGGTTTACAAACTTGTCACACCTTTTCTTCGGGAGATTTAAAATAGATTATTATAACTGGTGACTTTTCAAATAATTTCTTCAAGACTGTATTGATGATTCATAATCTGTTCCTCATTTTGGAAAAATAGCTGTTGTAAAAACTGGCAAAACTATCCTAGCAGGAGGAAAAGGTAGATTTTCCTTAAAAAAGGAAGTGACTTTCAAGTCACTCCTTGAAAGTCACTGACTAGGAAACAAAAACATTTTCATAAGACTGGCTCATAAGTAAACTACGTCCTCAAAAGTGATATAATTTTTCTTTCCCTTTGTTCTTTACTCTGATCTACCATGGGTTTTTTGTTTGTTTGTTTTTTCGGTATTATTGAGGTATAATTGACAAACAAAATTTGTATGCATTTAAGGTGTACAATGTTTGTATCCTTTGACCATCTTCCCATTCCTCCCACTCCTCAGCCCATGGAAACCACCATTTGACTCTGTGCTTTACAAATTTGACTTTTTAAGATTCCACATATCAATGAGGTCACACAGTATTTGTCTTTCTGTGCTTTGCTTATTTAACTTAGTATAACATACTCCAGGTTCATGTATGTTGTTGGAAATGACGGAATTTCCTTCTTTTTTTTCCATTACACACACACACACATCACTTTCTTTATCCATGTGTTTCTCAATGCACACTTAGGTTCATTACTACCTTGGCTATTGTGAATAATGCTGTAATGAACGTGAGAGTGAAGATCTCTCTTCAAGGGAGTGATTTTATTTCCCATGGATATATCTACCCAGAAGTGGTATTGCTAGATCATATGGTAGTTTTATTTTTAATTTTTTGAGGAATCTGCCATAGTTTTAAGTTGAGCATATTATATGGAAACATCTGAAATTTGTAATTTTCCAGCATATTATCCCTAGAGCCCAAATTCTACTCATTACTTGCATCATCTCTCCTAGTTCTGTGCTTGTTTGTAGCAAATGAAAGTACCTTTTTTGGCATTTTTTTTCTTAAAAGGACTTATGCTTTAAGTTATTCAAGCAGCTGACTGTATATTTCATTCAGCTGAGACTCTTCATTTTAAAATGTTGGCTGTTCAGAAAAAAAAAAAGCTATTCCTGAAAATCTGTGTGTATTATCTGAATTCTTTTGCCATCTTCCCATGAGGCTTATATTGATTTTATACCTCATTCCAGTATTTGTCCACTGAACTTCTCTCCTTTGTATTTTTATCTTTTGTGTGAATGTTTGGTTCTCTTCCTGTCAGGTATTGCTCTCTTCTTCTGTCACTGCATAGCTGGGAGTTTAAGCACTGAAAATAGTCCGTACTGACTGGGGCCTGTCCCACCTGGATAAGCAAGCTTTTCGGAGCCCTGTGGTTACCCTTAAGGGCTTGGAGTCCTCACCTCTAGGATGACCTTGCTCTGTAACATGTTCTTCTTACTGGAGACTGTTTTCTGTTCTTGTTTATAGGTATGAGAATGTCATTTGATATCAACTTTAGGTTGAGCTCACTTAGCTACTGGGTGGTGGGGGCTAAACAACCCCACCTTATTCTTCGTTTACTACTGACTTTTTCTGCCTGTAATGCATGTGAAAATGCCTTAGGTTTTGCCTTTTACAGTAGACATTAATAAGCATCCACATGTGCAGAGGTATTGCACTATGATTCAATAAAAATAAAGAAGTCAATGTAAATATGCACATAAAAAGAGAAGTTAGAGAATACTACAAAGTAAAGTTTTACATATATATTAAATCAATATGTTAAACATTGTTAGTTACTGTCTAATAAAACTGGGAGTAATTTTAGAGATACTTTAGGCTACACCATCTTTTTTTTTTAAGTAGAATAACTTACTTGGGGTCTGATGTAGCTTTAAAATTTTGCCCTAGGAAGCTGGATGTAATATTTTATTTTATTTATGTTATTATTATTATTATTTGAAATAGAGTCTTGCTTTGTTGCCCAGGCTAGAGTGCGGTGGCGTGATCTCAGCTCACTGCAACCTCTGTCTCCTGGGCTCAAGCGATTCTCCTAGCTCAGTCTCCCTAACAGCTGGGATTAGAGGCGTGCACCACCATGCCCAGCTAATTTTTGTATTTTTAGTAGAGACAGGGTTTCACCATGTTGGCCAGGCTGGTCTCGAACTCCTGACATCAAGTGATCCACACACCTCGGCCTCCCAAAGTGCTGGGATTACACGCTGAATATAATATTTTTATTACTTATCTCAGTGAGATCAGAGCACTTTCTACATTATGTAGCATTATACAAATAAATAGTATTACTGTAAAAGTAATTTTAGGATGCTTATCATCCTTTCCTTTTTTTTTTTTATTTTTCAATTTAATCACAATGGTGAAGGGATATACCTGAGTTTTAGACTATCTTGTTGCTTCTTTCTTTGGTCAGTCTTCTAGACAGGAGGATCCAATTATTTCTTTGTGCATAGATCATATTCCCAGGCTGGAGTTGATTTAATCTTCATTAGGCTGGCAAACACCATCTCTAATTTATCATTTATTTAGTAGAGTGGGGGCCTTGCTATGTTGCCCAGGCTGGTATTGGAAACTCGGGCTCAAACAATCCTCCATTCTTGGCCTCCCAAAGTGCTGGGATTGCAGGTGTGGGCCACTGTGCCCAGCTTCCAATTTCTTAAAAATTAAATATTAAGAATAGCAAATGATCAATAGACAATTACCTTTATTAATTAACAATATTTTTAAATTAAAAAGACATATTCTTTATTCAGAGACTTAGCTTTAGGTATGATTAGTAAAAGAAAAATTATAAGTTATATTTGAATGAAGATCTAGGTAACAATAGGTCATAAAATATCCAGTGAAAGGTTATTTGACACTTGGAAATCCTTAGACAAAGGGCTTTTAGCAAGTTGTATATCAAGTTTCTATTAGACAACTCCTTTGAATCATGTATGCATAACTAATGCCTTTATCTCCAGCTCCTTGACACCTTGTTTAATATTGCTGTTATAAATGTATATCTCTCCATTGCTTAAAAAAAAGAGACACGACTGTGTTAAAACATTGAAAAAATCAATCTCCACTTCAGAGTTTATCAGACTTGTACAATTTTCATTGAATATGCTTCTAAAATTCAATAAATTCCTTTTCTAACCTTTATAGAAACTTTTAAAAAAGATAGTGTATGCCAAAAATAGAGGAGAACTTAAAAAATGCTGAAGGTTAAAGAGGACAAGGGGTTATTTGAGAAGTATTTTCTATTTTACAGACAAAGGAAAGGAGTGGGAAAAATGCTTGTCTTTAGAATAAACTATGTTCCTAGGTTACATGTGAGACGTGTCTGGGATAATGAACAAAATCAGAGCCAGTAAGTGTAATTGGGAAAGTAAGCTATTTTAGAAGTTATTACCAAGTCTACACAACAAGGAGAAAAGAGCTTAAGTGTTTGACATTCTTTCCAAGGTATGAGGAAGAATTCCAAGGGACAGAATTAATATTTCCCTCTATTGACATCCTGAACAGTGAACAGTGATCTATTTATATAATGAATGTTAAGTTCTAGAATCCCTAACTGTAATAGTCACATACTTATCTGATTTTCTTTAATTTGGGAATAAGTCTGCTACATTTAAGAAGACAGAAACCAAAGGACATTTCAACATAAAGCTCGGTATAAGCTAAGAATTTAAAAAAAAAAGGAAAAAGAAAAGCTTTATTAAAATATGCATGGATGGCAGTGTTCTGCATTTCCCTAAAAATCAAGTGGTCTAGTATTTTTTTCTAGGTACATCTTACTGACCTTTAAAAATCAGATTCACTTTTTTTTCAGTCATCTATTTTTAACATCATTCTAATTTAATAGTATCATCCTTCAAAATTTCTTCTCTTCCACAGAGAGAAACTCAATCCTTTGTGAGGCCTATTTATTATCTCTTCAATGACATCTCTTACTAGGTACCAGTATTCTTTAAAAGTCCCTTCCTTAACATGTTTTCTTAATACAGAACAATATTCTTCTGACATGCCTTACTTACATTTTCTTTTACATGCCATAAACTTCTTGATTTGGTACCCCAATTAACAGCGTATGCAAATATTAGAGTTATTGAAATTTGGAAAAAGAGAGACTCTTGGGAGAGATGAAACTTGAGAGGGGCAGTACAAAATCAAAAGCATCTAGAGGTGTGGTCTAGTGGAAGCTGGTCCAGATGGGGAGCTTCAAAGAAAGTCCCAAGAAGAGAGCGAGAAGGCAAGTTGCCTTCTCAGGGCAATGAAGTTCTGCTGTGACTGCTCCGCCTTCTTTGTGATCTCTTCTGATTGGTAACTGTGTGGGTAGTTTCAGATTTAAATGAGGAACAACAAGTTCACTCTGAAAGTGGTTATTTTAAATTAAATTTGTGGTTTCACTCATTATCATTATCAACTCTCTATGAAATGACTGCTGAGTAAGGAATACTCTGCTAAGCAGGCAGAGGGAAGATTCTAACAATGTGGAGAATACAAATTTATTGTTTTGCAAAAGATTGTTAACACTATTTGTCCATCCTTTCTAAGTGTAGATTATATATATCTCTTTAAGGGTTGACTTTCCTTCTTTTCCCCTTTCTTATTTATTCAGAGACTTGACCTGCCTTTTACTCCCGAACAGCAAAAAACAACCAAAAGCTTTGCACTTGGTGTGTGTGTATCTGTGTGTATGTGAATCTGTGTATGTTGAAGGGACGGCAAGTGTTTGTATGAATTTCTGTGTATGTATCAGAAAGAAACAGAGGCTACCAGGAGTAAGGATTTTACTTCTCTCTTCGTACTTCATGAAGCAGGTTTTTGCCCCGGAGTTATTTTTAAAGTATAACATCATTTGGCAACTTGGTAAATATAGATATTCATAATTATCTATAACCATGGTTACGAGAGTAAATCTAGTCCAACAAAGTCAAATTTACTCTAGAATGATATAGTTATTTGCTCAAAGTTATTTTCCAACATGCACTCAGAATAGGTTAAAATAGATTTTCATCTCATAAATTTCTGGTCATTATTTTTCATGCATTATTTATTTTACTGAATGAAATTTACTTATTAAAATTAAGTTTTGGGTGAAAATTATTCAATCATATTTAGAATTTCAAGATGAAATTTAAAATGTTCTTTTTTTTTGTAATGAACTTTAATATTTTTCTTTTTTCTTAAGCCTACAAAACATGATCCTGTAGCAGATTTTTTACAGCTGGGTTATAAACCCTTGGAAAATTGTATTTATAATAGAAATGCTGCCGTAACTTTAAATCTAGCAATACTAGGAGGCAGCCTTCAATCTTCGTGAGTTGCTGACAACATAGAAGTTTGTTTTCAGATACATCTGCAGTGTCTATCTTGAGCATTCCAGATTGTAGGGAATGAAGTGTCTTCCTCTCTTAGAGGAAAAAAAGGAACATATTCATTTTGCTGAGGGCAGCATCGTTGGAAATGGGTTTAGTATGCTGTACATATCACTTTGTGTTTCTTGAATTTTGTTAGATATTTTTGTTGTGACATGGGGCTTCCCAAATGGTGGTTGTGCAAACATTTGTTCTGCTTCATTTTCCCCCAGAGTATCTGGGAAAAGTAGCTGAGAAATTTCTAGGAATCAAGTGACGAAGTTCATCTTGCTTCCCTTTCACAAATTTTGGTGCATCCAAATCTGTGGAAGATGCCTGTAGTCACTGGGAGTTTATTTTATGTGAAGCAATGCTTGTGTTGTTGGTCAACATACACATACTCAAAGAATGAGCATAAATTAAGTGCAGCAGAAAAAAATGGCCTTGGTTCATTTTTAGCTCTGTCATACCTATGTTCATGAGAAGTTCAGAGAATTCAGTCAATTCATCGTTAGATATTTGAATACCAGCTGGGTGCTCAAATATTTGCATCACTTGAAAATCTCAAAGGGACAGGATTTCCTGTAGCTGACTGGATTCCCACCTTCCAATCCTTCCTTTTTGAGATTTAGAGCCAAGGAAAGCAGCCAGACATTTATGTTTCCCTAATATTGTGGATTCATTGTATAAATAGACAGGATTTTAGAGAAGTCCTCCTTGAGTAGTGTTTTTTTTTTTGTTTTTTTTTTTTTTTTTTAATAGTTGTCTTCTCAAAAAGGGATGATATGGGACTGCTTTAGTACTTGCTGCCTGAGAGCAGTATGAGTGTAATTGCTTCAAGCAAACTATCTTGGTGGCCAAATGATTGTTGTTTGCTCTTAAAATATTTTTCTCTTGTGATACCATGAAATGTTTGTTGTGTAAAAAAGATTAGTGGGAATTAAAATCTGATAAATGGGGGCCTAGATCATAGAATGTTTTGTAGGGAACTAGAAGTACTTTAGCTTTTACTTTGTTTGGGACAAGGAGACTTTGTAGAGTTCTGAGCCAAGGATTGACACAGCTGACTTATGTTGACATTTTCACATCATAATTGAGATTATTTCACCATCTTTCTGAACCCCATAACAAGTTTGAAACCTTCTGTGGTGTTCAATTGCTCTTCATGTAAGATCCTCCATGGCTTGGCCTCTGCAAACTTTTCTAGCATTATTCATGTCCACACTTGGCCTTGATGCCTGGTCTGCAGTCATTTGTCTTGCTTTCAGTGTTTTTAATGTACATTTCCCTAGGGCAGTTTCACCTGTTGTGTGTTCTTAGCCAAATATAGCTGCCATTCCTATCATTGAGCTACAAGGTAAGTGTTTACAACTGATCTTTAAGAAATAGAAGATTTTGTAAGTTCCTGGAAAGAGGAATTTGGTGGCCTAGAAGTTCACCCTATGGAAAGAACCTCAGAAATATCTAATTCAAACATTTTACCATAGCATTCAAAAATGACCCTATGGGTTGACAGCTTCAGTGACAGGCAGGGGAAGTGCCATCTGAGAAGGTAGGCCAGCCCTTTGGGCTTTTCTGAGAAACAGCTTCTCTAAGAAAATAAATTCTGGTGAAGTCTATTGGGTGAAGAATATTAGACTTCTAAGACCAGTAAAAAAACAAAACTCCCCGATTCTCCTTATCTTCTAATTATCGTTTAGCAGTACAGTATTTATAGGAAAAGAGAATATATCGAACTGGATCTTTTTTTCCATAACCCTTTCTGATCCCCATAGCTTGTTAAACCTCTTACATATAATCCACTTATATTAGCTTATACTCACAACACTGTAAGGCATTGTTCTGTTGCCCATTTTAATAGAATTCTGAGATGATGTGATAAATGACAACTTGCCTAAGTAATTCTCTACTAGAATAAAAACAATCTACTCAAGGCTGTATCTGCCAATAAAGGTAACCTTGCCTAAATCCACATTTTTAATTAAAAACATTATGGGATTTTAAGTTTTTTTAATTTCTAAAGAAATACGTGTTCTTTGTTTTGAAAGAAAAGCAAACAATACAATATTGGATAAAATAAATAAAAAATTCCCACTGACTTCTTCAAAATCACTAGACAATTTGTTAAGAGTACATATGATAAAATGTGGTTTAAAAATAAAAAAAGAAAATTATTTAAAATGAGTATTACATCCCCTATAAAAGAAATAAGTAAATAAAATCTTCTCCAAGATCCCCCAATCTCATCCAAAATATATGGTCACTATGAACAAATATGTATATTACTGTGCCTCATGTAATATGTTTTTACTTGCATATTTCAAATACTTATATGCATTAGTACATAATTTACTTTTTTACAAAATGAGATGACACAATACATACCATTAAACAATTTCTTCTTTTCAACTAGCAATAAATTATAGACCTCTTTCCACATCAGTAATGCATATCTTTTTTGACTAATTTGTAATATATATGTGGTAGGAGGAAAGTGTCATGATTCATTTAATCATTTTCACCTTGAAAATGTATTTTTAAATGCATAGTATTATTTTATTTATTGCATTTATAATTGAGTCTATTTACTGTTCTTACTAAGAACTATATTTTAGGAGGATTGCTCATCCACTTGAAGGCAAAATTGGAACTGAGAAGAAGAGTAAGGTAGTTTCTTCCCTGGGTGATCCACATCTGAGACAGAGAGAGCTGGACCAGGATAGGACTGAAGGAGGACTGAGGCTGAGAGATGCAGAAAGCGCTGTCAGGGAAGGATCCCTTGAGATGGCAATAGGACCTCTAAGTAGGCGTGTAACAGACAAGGGGAGAGCGCCCTTCTCCACAATGCAGGGATTTTATCATTATGAGACATGGTTAGGTTAACTAAATTTTTAATCTCTTCTAAAATATAACACATGTAGCACATGTAAAAAAAAGTTAATAAAACTCTGCTTTATGTTTTGCAGGTCTGTGAACACTTATTTTGTCTAACAACATTAATAGTTATATTAATAATATGAATGATAACAAAATAGCTACAGAGTATTTTATGTTCCCACCTGCCCTTTGCTTCTTATATACACATCATCTACTCCCTACAGTTTCTTAAGAGACAAGTATTATCATTTCTGCTTTATTTTTACTCCTGTGACTCAGAGATATTAAGTAATTTCAGTTTATAGGGAGTTATTATCTTTGGAACAATACCACTCCTGCAAATAAGGACAAGGGAGCTCCTGTTTGCTGCATTAATTCTCATTGGTTCTCAAACAAATGCGAATTACTGTATAATGGCAATCACAGTTGAGCCGTATCTCTATTTTTGAAAAACTATTATTCATCTACTCTGTTTTGTATTGAAGGTCTAGGTTCATTTTTCTGTTTGTCGAAAGAGAAAAACAGTCACAAATATCTATACTGTCTTAACTGTATTTCCAGAAGAAACACGTAAAATTTTTCTAAAGAAAATGATTTCAGGAAACACGTTTTTGGAAATAAATGATCACCCGGCCAGGAACTAACAAAAATCTGAATTCTTTCTTTGTTTGGGTGCTTTCTATACTTAGAAATGATTTACTTCTATTATCTTAATTTTCTCATTACTGTTATTAATTAGAGGCATATTTTATATCAATGAAAACCTTGAAGTATCATTCCTTCTTCCTCAAAATGATTAGGAAATATGTCTATGGGGACTTAAGTTAATTGGATAAAACATTTCTGAAAGGAGTGAGTTTTATGTTCAGTAAAATGAGACTCACATTTCTATTGAATTTTTTTTTACTATGGAATCTATTAATAAATAGATGTGAAAGAAGATAGTGATCAAGAACACTCGGCAGGCTCCTTATGTGCAGTTCCACAGCAGAAGAGACTGTAGTATATTTATTGGCCTTGCTATCGAGGGTGGCAGTGTTTTATTTCCTGCTTTGAAATTATTTTAATCTGTTATTTGGTAAATTGCCTATCGTTTTTACAGTTCTATGAAAAGTAAGAAAAGAACTTAACGATGGTATTTATCAACTTGTTGTTTAGTAGAATGTAATTAGTTGGCGAAAGAGGAAACATGCCATATGTAAATGATGTCTGTCATTCCTCCTACCCCACCGCTGCTGCATCCCTGCACAGAACTCTCCATTTGCACACTGGTTTTTTTTGGGTATGTCCACCAGAGCCAAAAAAGAAAGGAAAAAAAAAAGCAATGTTTTTATCAACAGACGTTTTCACTGTATAACTAATTAAGCAGTGAGGTGGTTCTATTCCTTCAAGGAAATTATAACTATTTTACAGATTAGGAAACCGAGGTCCACAAGCTGGGCATCTTCCTCAAGGTCATAGTTTGTTGATGACATTTCTGTCTCTCTTTTTTTCCCTTTGATTTAATTTAATTTGTTTTGTTTTGTTAATCAGAGCACTCCTTATTCTACTCTTAGCATATCGTTTTTTTTTGCTCTTCAGACTGGAATATTCTTTGGTATGATATAACTAAAATTTTCCCAGCCAAGAAAATTGAGTTCATGGTTTGGAATTTCAAAACATGATTATTTTAAACTTTTTGTCCACTCTTGGGACTACCTGGGAAATAGTTGTATGGGGATTTTTAACTTGAAACAACATTAAGGATAGATTATCTTGTATAAAGATAGATTATTTTGTAAAATGACTCATTTCTCTTGGACACTAATGGGGTCATTAACACCTATACTGTAAAATATTGTAATAATGAATAAAATTAGAAATTAAACATAAAGAATTAGAATGAAAATGTTTTGCAGTGAAAAGAGGTCAAGAAAAGACAATGGGGTATCTCCTTATAAGACAGTGCTATGCTTAAGCTAGTGTGAAAAATAAATACAGTCTCAGCTGTTAACTTTATTGTGCAAAGTGCAAAGAGAAATAAGATAAATTCTGAGAACTTTTTGTCTCCTTGTGTTAGTCTTATAGTGAATAAGATAAATTCTTAAAAAAATAGTTACTTTGCCTGAACAGCAAACACTCGGTGATGTGGAACATTCTTTATTCCCAAACAAAAAACTTGGTTGTATAGGGACTCACCTAGCTTCAAAATCTGAGGGTCAATGAAAATCATTAAAGAGGCCTACTATGGAATGAGTAGGTAACTGTATCTAGAAGGCAGTTTATCATAAAATATCTTTGGAAATATGTGGAGTTTAAAATATTGAGAATAATTTCGTTGCTCCTTGCTTTTTCATCTGTCCTGCTATTATGGTACTTAAAAGGAATAGTGGACAGAGTGGTCCATTCTTTACATCTGAATAACATTTAAACTAAATGACCCCTATTGGTGTGAATCATATAGAGAATAATTTTTACCACTATTTCTTTCATATAAGCTTTTTATATTCTCTTGTTCTAGTTACTGTAAAATGCTGAAAATAATCTTTTAATAAAGTAGTCAAATGGCAGCATGCTTATTTAAAGCCCACAATATAATGAGAATTTGATTTGTATGACTCTTAATTGCTTCCACAGGCATTATTTTACAGCTAGGATATTGAGATACTATGATGTTATGAGGCATGTCTATGTAGGACAGATATTTGTTCTCTGAGAAGCTTCCATGATACTTTACAACATAGAATTGAGCCTTGGGTGAAAAGACCAATGGGAAGTTGCATGGGCTAGGTATACTATCATGCAGAACCATGAAAATGGTTCCTTTTATGCCTCAGTCATCCTAGCGTGCCATAGGTTACATAGGATATAAACTTCAATTAGTATTTTCGTTTCTTTGTATCTGTGTTTGGGATTTGGTCTTACACACCCACATAAAAATCACCAGAGACGGCGTTTCATTCCCTTATCTTTCGACATTTGGAAAATTGTGAAACTTTGATGATAAACCATTCACTGCAATTGAAGATATATACTAATAGGTGTGCCAGTAGATTTTAATAGAGATATTTACTTTTCCTCCATCTCCCAGAAATCTGGAACTTGAGATACGATTTTTTTTTCACCTATGATGAAACTCCTGTTTTACGCCAGTTCACTTTTTTTTCAGTATAGTTTTGTTTTGTTTTTTAACCAATGAATAAATAGGGGAATGCATTTGTTAGATTTTTTTTTTTTATGTAGCCATAAAGGTGAAAAACTTGGCTGTGACTCTGTTTTGATGTTCCAGGCTGAGGAAGTGTAATTGTAGCTGTGAAATGAAGTGGGTGTAAAATGAGTTTGATGGTTCAGTCAACTTCAATAGACAGATGTTGATTTTATCCTTTAATGGGAAAAGGTTCTGCAAAAATCATTATAAAATGAAAAAAAAAAACCCAATAAATTTGCAGGTGTGCAAGCCTTATTAAAAGAGGTATTTAAATTTTAAAATAAAATTTAAGATCATATTCTTGTAAATATTTTGTTTTTATTTTTTAAATAAAAACAAAGGCTCCCTTTCATCACCTGCTGAGCATGTGAGGTCAGGTTGCTCAATTTCTCTGGTATGTTTATTTGTCTTTTGTAAAATGTACGTACCACACAAGAATTAATGACCAATTTGATGAGATAGTATACAAGAATTGTAACTTTAAGGCCCCTTTCACATAATGGATTATTTTAATCAGAGATGGAATCTCTATGAGGGGAGTTCTCTTTATTGAAATATCAATTTTAAAAATATGGTTCATAGTCTGGTTACACAGTGTTTTTCCTATAAGTTCATTGTGAGATGTGTCACAGTAATTTTGGAGGAAAGAATTCCTTTCATGTATTAATTTTCATGTGCTAATTATAGGTATTAATTGTTTCTGAGGTATAGAATATCAGCATGTAGTATAGGAAGGTAGTGAATAAATAAAGGAGTAGTATTTATGAAAACAGAAAAAAAAGAGTTGAAACTTCAAGAGAAGTGATTGTTCTGCCTTTGTATTATGTCTGGCCAGTTGTGTGCTCAACAGGAATGCTGAAGGACTGGTGAGCATAGGGGTGAGGAAGTTGTACTGTTGGGCATGAATCTTTGATATAAAATGCTTCACTTGTTAGAATTTTATTTCACTATGTTTGCTTCCTCACCCTAAATGTGAATGGAACAGGCCATTAAGAATAAAATATTCAAGCAATAAACAATTTTCCTGGCCTGCATGTTCTTTCTGGCTCAGTTAAGGCTGCATTCTAGGGGAATGCTGCCAAGCAGCAATGGAATGAGGCAGTCATTTGGGATGTCTCAGTCTTGGAGGTTCAACGAGACAGGTGGCTAATTTGGGTCAATCAGTGGACTGAAGGGGACAGAACTTGGTCTGGCAGCAAGCAAGCTGTTGAGGCATCTCTGACCGCTGGGAGAACTGGGCCAGACCTCAGCTGCTGGGTAGCCTTTCAGCCTTCTCTGGTCTTGTGAAAACTGATAGGGATAAGGTTGGCATCCAGTCATAGGGAATAGCACTGGACAGGTTCATGGTTAGACATGGAGGACTGTTATGGGGATGTGTTTATTGAAAATGAGATTTAAGTGCAGAAATATAATTATTAGACCAGTTTTAAGATGATCAGAACAAGACTTAGCAATTGTTTTGGACTAGCAATGATTCTCCTGAACTACTAGACTAGAAATCCTGAGAGTCTCCCAGAGAAAAGCCAAGACTGATGCTGGAATATGGGGCTTAATGAGTTCACAACTGGAAGCCCAGGATCTGGTTAAGGAAATGGTTTGTCCTCAGGGAATGCTGCACATTTTATAATGTTCACTAAGCAATTGTCTGTCTGCCTCTTTCCTTTTCTTGTTTGTGGAGTCTTCTTCCTTCCTTTCTTTCTTCTCTTTTTTCCTCCTTCTCCTTCCTTTCTTGCTCTCTCTTTCATCTCCTTCCCTCTCTTTCTGTCTCTTTTCTTCTTCCCATTTCTTTTCCCTTCTTTCCTCCTTCCATGTTTAGCTTTTATTGAAAGTCTAAACTGCAATATTCTAATTCATTATTGAAAAAAGCTTTTAAAATCACCTATCTACATGTTGCTTAATATGTCATCTTTCAAGGACAACGGGGTGCATAATATAATGATGCATAATGTACCAAGTATGTAACATATAAAGGATAAATTGCAAATTATTTCCAAAACTATTTCTCAGTAAAATTATTCAGAGGAACAGTCTGATGATCAGATAGACTCTAAAGTCAGTCATCTGAAGCCTGTATTTTAATGAGGGAAATTTTACATTTTAGAAGAAAGGTCTATATTTCTTCAAAAATTTAATTTTTGGCATTTTAGTATTATATTCTTCTTATAGAAGAATACCATAAACATTCTTTATATTCTTCACCTAAGTTCATTAATTGTTAGTATTTTTATACATATCATTTATATTTATCTTTTTATCTATCTATTGACAACGTTTTTGAATCATTTTAAACTAACAGATAGCAGGACACTTCACAACAAAATACTTCAATGCGTATCTCTTATGAATAATGACTTTCACCGTAAGGCTATTATCATATCTAAGAAAATTAACATTTATTTAATACAATAATCTGATAACATAGAGTCCATATTTAAATTTACCTAATTGACCCAAGTAGTGTTTTTTATAACTTCGGTGTTTGAATTTTCCATCCAGGAGTTAATCAAAATTCATGAACCGTCCATTTACTATGTCTTAAATTAGTTGCCCCACATTCTAATTTTTTGGTTTTTTATGACCCTGATGTCTTTTTATGGCCAAGTCCAAACGTTGCTTACAATAATTCACATTCTGTATTTGTTTCATTATCTTGTCATAGTTAGATCAGATTAAACACTTTGGCAAGAATATTACTTAGGGGTTGTTGCTTACTTTTGTTAGAAAGCAAATCATATCAGGGCTTTCTATTATTTATGATACTATATATTTGAACACTTGGTTAAGACAGTGCCCATCATATTTTACCATTTAAAAAGTACATTTTTCTCTTCATGATTAATAATCAAACTATGGAGTGATATTTTGAAGTATTTGAGATATTTTAAGATAGTGTACCTCTTCTGTTTCCTAGTATTCTTGATAATCCTTGAGTGACTAAATCATTACACTAGAGGATATGAAGCAAATTTGTAATTTTCTAATCCCTTTGTACTTGTTATTCTTTCTAAAACACCATTTAATTTTGTTATAGTAAATTAATTCATTATTCTTTCTTATACTCTAATATCTAAAGTTGGCCCCTTCAAGTTCCTTCACTTCAGCTACTTTTGATCCCATTAATATCTGGGTACTTCTTTTTATTATTATTATTATTTTTTAGATGGAATCTCCTTCTGTCGCCCAGGCTGCAGTGAAGTGGCACGATCTCGGCTCACTGCCAAGCTATTCTCCTGCCTCAGCTTCTCAAATAGCTGGGATTACAGGCGTGTGTGCCACCACGCCCAGCTAATTTTTGTATTTTTAGTAGAGACAGGGTTTCGCCATGTTGGCCCGGCTGGTCTCCTGACCTCAGGTGATCCACCCACCTAAGCCTCCCAAAGTGCTGGAATTATAGGCATGAGCCACTGTGCCTGGCCCATATCTGGGTATTTCTTACCTTGTCTCAAGCTCACTTTGTACTTTGTTGCCTCAAACTGAAATTAAGGCATTTCCTAAGAAACTCTCATTTCTTTAAATGGAGTATAATATTTTGAAAACAAGATGTTAATACTAGGTTTAATCTTTGTTACTGGGGTGGCATTGACCTAGATTAGAAGTGGGTAGGCTAGAGCCTGTGAAGCAAATCCAATCTACTTCCTGGTTTTGTAAATAATATTTTATTGGAACAGCTATGCTCTGTTGTTTACATATTATGTATTTCTATTTTCACACTACAATGGCGGAGTTGATTATGTGCAACAGAGACCATATGGCTGCAAAGTCTAAAATATATACTATCTTACCCTTTACAAGAAAAAAAAAGTTTGCCAGTATTTTATATAGATGCTTTCAGTGGACTGCTCTCTCTCTCTCTCTCTCTCTCTCTTTCTCCATATATATATATATTTTAATGTCATGATTTTACTTCTGTTCTGGCCAAAATGGAGTAACAGAGACTGGATCTACCTCTTGCCTAAAGTAACCAAAACACAAAACTAAACTAAATTAAATAAATTATAGGAAACAAGGAGTTCCAATACAATGGATGTCAGACAATGAAGATGAAAGAGAACAAATCCTGAGAAACAAAAAAACAGGCAAAATATGCCATACAACTCTCCCAATTTATTGCCTTGAGAGTTTTCAGACTACACTATAGGAAAGACAAACCCAGATGGAATCTAGCCGACTCTCAGGACTGGGGAGATGCAGTCCAGCCGACCAAAGTGGCTGTGGGTGGCAACGGGGGCATTGGGGGGTCTCCCTTGAGTATTAAGCACCATGATTAAAACATGCATGTGAAGAAGCCATCACAGTTCAGGGAAAGAATTTGCCAAAACCATTACATTGACCAACGTATGATGTGTAAACAAAACTAGAACTGATGCACACTGCTAACCAGCTAAACTGACAAATTAATTCATGAGACATGGGGTAGTGTACTCAGGAAGTTCTTGCCTTGGTGGAAAGTAATTAACCCTAGATCTAGTGCTGCCCTGTACCTACTTAACACTTCTTAAAGCAAGATTCAAAAGGCTTTGCAAACTGTTGTAATATACCTTAACAGAGGCTCAGCTCAAAGCTCAAGAATGTTTTTAGGGCTGCAAACATATCCAGCACCCAATAAGATAAATTTCAAAATGTTTGGTATCCAATCAAAGGTTGCAAAGTATGCAAAAAAAGTACTTATGTATGACCCTTTATAAGTAAAATACTAAGTCAACTGACACTGTACTAGAACTGACCAATACGTTAGAATTAGCAGACAAGACATTAAAAGTCATAACTGTATTAAATATTTTTAAGTTAAATATAAAATGTGTATATATATACACACATCTGAAGCTACCTTCTAAACATGAAACCTATAATATGTAAGATGAAAAATACATTGAATGTGATTAGAGCAGATTAACATCACAGAAGAAAAGAAGTGAATTTGAAGACACAGCAATAGAAACTATTCAGGATGAAACGGAGAAAAGAAAATTTAGAAAAATAGAGAGAGCTTTGGCGACCTATCTGTGGCACAACTTTAAGAGACCTCATATGTGCATAACTGAATTCTCTAAAGCAGAGTAGAGAGAAAGGGTTACAGAAAATATTTGAAGACACAATTGTTGAGAGAATTCTAAATGTGATGAAAACTATACATCTATAGATCCCAGAAGTTCTATGAGCCCCAATCACAAGAAACACAAAATAAATGACAACATGCACATCATAATGAAATTGCTTGAAAATAATGGTAATAAGAGCATATAAAAATCATCTGAGAAGGAAAATACACTAGGCATACAGAAGAAGATAATAGCAGCAGAATTTTAATCAGAAACAATGTAAGTGAAAATAAGGGTGAGCAAAGTACTTCAAAGTACAGTACTTTCAAAAGCAAAAATCAAAAAGCTGTCAGCAGTTTGTACCACATTTGTACAATGGAAACAGATGCTCATTCCTCATTCACTCGATTGACATGTAAGAATGTTAGTGTGAAAGTTACTGAGCTTTATTTGGGCATACTGGGGAAAAAATAATCCTAGTGACCTCTTTATGTTTGCAACCAGGCTACCAGAGTTGGGGAAACAAGACTCTTACTCACTGAAAGAGATAGAGTCTGGTTATGCTGCCCAGGCTGGTTTTGAACTCCTGGGCTCAAGTGATCCTGCCACTTCAGCTTCCCAAATAACTGGGAGTGTGCCATCATGTGCACTGGTACAGGTGTGTGCCACCACACTTGACTTTCTCTCTATTTTAATTATAAAAACATACATCAGCGGAACCAGCAAACAGGATGCCCAAATAAAAGGCACACATGGAAGCTGCCAGTCCACCAGCTGCAGATCACCTGAGCCCTGGGGCTGGTGCTTACCTACTGAGAATGGCACCAAGGACCAGCCAACAAAGGTTAACCTGGGACACTCTTGGACAGTGATTCTGATGTTTGTTCTGAGCAGCGCGCTCAACAGTATGACAAGAGAGAGGGGCCAATGTCCACTGAACTACCAGTTCTTCCTGCTGCAAGCTTTCCCAGGACTGAGATCCCAGGGCTAAACAAGGAGCCAGCCCCAGTCAGCACCTTGGCATCTGCCTGGCCTCAGTGGCCCTGTCCTACTGGTACCTGTATGACATCCACGGCTTACTTCTGCGAGGTGATGCTCGCTGTGGGAGTCCATGATGAACTTGAACTGGAAGTTCCAGGCAAGCATGTGGGCCCTCTTCATTTATGACACCTCCATCCTTGTCATGGGACGCATGTACCTGTGTCTGCATGGCTGCTACCCACTGCTACTGCGCTGCCTCATCTACACGCTTTGGCTCTGGCCTACTTGTGAGAGTTCGCCCCTTGCTGCATCCTGCACCAGTTCAACACCTGCCTCTGGAAGTACTCCCAGTTCCATTTTGACTTCATGGGCCTATCACCCTGGAGTATGCTGTGCCCTGGTTCTGCGAGTCCCTCATCATGGAACAACTCCAGCGCACTCTGCCCCTGCTTCAGTGACACCCAGCCTGGGAAGCCTAGTGGACCCCTGGCCCTGGCCAACATCCATGTCAAGACTGACTGAGAGTAGAGAGGGATGAGTGGGTGTTCTGGAGATCTCTTATGGAATTCATGGACAAAGAGACCAAGCTGGTGTATTGCGCCTTCTGTGCAGCACAAGCCCTGCCCTGGCCAGGCCTCAGCCCTGTAGGGCACACACAGCCCCATACCCTCCAAGGTGGGCAGGTGTTGAGGGGGCATGGTCAGGTGGTGGGGGACAGGGTGTCAAGGCAGCAGAGGAACATAGGGAAGGATACATGGATTTTGGCCCAGCTCAGAGGCTGGTGGTGGGAGGCTGTGGGTAAGCGGTGATTGGACTGTACAGTTGACTTTGGAAGCAGCAGGCCATCCTGGCTAAGGGACATTGAGAATGGGGCCACAGGTAGGAGGCAAGGCCTGACCTCCCTCCCTCTCATCTGGATTTAGTTGGACTTTGGCTGGTTCCATTAGGCAACTTTCAGGTTCTTGCTTGCAACCAGTACCTTCACAGAGGTCTGCTGAGCTGTCGCTTAAGAGATACTGGGCAGCCAGGAGGCTTCTTGGCAGTAATGTTGATGTACAAAAGCTGGGAGACTTTCCCTTGTCTCCTCTCCCCTCCCTCACAGACATGCATAGCTCCCTTGGCCTTTGGGGGCCCCCGTAGTGCTGGATTCCCACCAACATTGGGCTTTTGGAGGTTTCAGTCCCCATGACAGTGCCCTCCCATCTCTTGCAGGCTTTCCTCCACTATTCCCACTTTATCTCTTTTAGCACCACTATTCCTTGTGCTTTGGGAATTCCTGAGTTATGCTTCCCAACTCTTGGTCTAGTGGGCTGTGGCAGTGTCTCCTCTCCACAGTGGCCCAGTTGAGAATGAATGATGCCCTTCAATGCACAGTCAGGCCGAGATGGGCCTTGTGGATCCACAATGGTAACCTAGAGGAAAATTAGTTCCATGGGGAAAAATCAGAGTTCTCAGTCACTTAGGCTCTAACTGGTTTATTTTCAAACTAATTGAGCAATCTAGCATTCCAGGGGATGGAGGAGGAGGTAATCCAGTATTAGAGACTCATGGAGAATGAGGGAGAAAAAAAGAGGTGTCCTTCAGCCTTGGAAAGCTCTTTGGAACACCCTTTGTCAGAAAGGATCGGTTCTTTCTCTGCCATAATCCCAGCCCTGTGGCAAAGCATTCTCATGGTTGCCATTCTCCTCGGCCCCCACCCAGTGAGGAAGATTCTTTGAGCTTGCTCCTTAAACAGTCTGAACCCTGCCACACTCATGGGCATTGTTATCTTGGTTCTGCCCTCCCCCTTTTCCTTGTGACAGGCCCATTGCTGGCAGTGGACAGGTGAAATCCTCACTCTAGCCGCTTTTGGCTCTGCCCCCTATTCCCTGAGGAGAGGGGTCTGTCAGAAAGTGGTCCATCCCGTGGTATGTGGTCTCTTCTTGACCACACTCAGACACTTAGGTAGAAATTAGCCTTTCCCTTCTTATAGATCGTTTTTAAATGACAATAATACCCCCTCCAAAAAAAAAATTATCAATGTGGAATTCTCTATACCCAACAAAATATATTTTAATAGCTACAGTGAAATTAAGACCTTTTGGAGGCTGGAATAATTAATCACCAGTAGAAAGTAGGACTAATCGTTTCCTGCTACTGAAGCAAGAGCTTCCTAAGTACACTACCCCATGCCTCACGAATTAAGAGTTCACCACTTTCTCTGGTTAGGAATGTGCATTGGTTATAGTCCTGTGTGTGTGTCACACACTGTTCACTTTAATTCTTTTGAATAATTTTTTCCTGGATGCTAGAAGAAAAGATTTGAAGTGTTTCCAACACAAAAAATAATAAATGCTTGAGGTAATATATATCCCAGTTAATCTGATTGTATCATTACACATTGTGTGCAAGTATCAAAATATCTCATGTGCCCCATAAGTATGTACAATTATTACATATCAATAAAAAGATGTCCACTATAAACCCTAAATCAATGACTAAAATATCAAAACAAAGAGTTACACCTAATAAGCCAAAAAAGGATACAAAATGGAATTATAAAAATGTTCAACTAATCCAAAGGTAGGCAGAAAAATAGATAAAGGGGAATAAACAGATGGAACATATTGAAAACACATAATAAAATACTGTCAAATTTAACCATATCAATAATCACATTGAAGGCAAATGTTTTAAACATTTCCATTTAAAAGGCAGAGATTGTCAAGATTGGATAAAAAACAAAATTAAAACATTTTTGCTGTCTAAAAGAAATACATTTTAATATAAAAACACAGGTTAAAAGTAACAGAATGGAAAATAAATGCCAGGTTAACATTACTCAAAAGAAAGCCAGAATGGCTATGTTAATATCAGTTATACCAATTTCAGAACAAAGAATATTACTTGAATTATATGACAAAGTTCACTTCAAAATGATAAAGGGGTTAATCCATCAAGAAGACATAACAAGCCTAAATGCTTATGCTTCTAATAATAGAGCTTCAAAATACATAAATCAAAACCTGATCAAACTTCAAGGAGAAACAGACAAATACAAAATTTTAATCAGAAATTGAAATACCCTTTTTTCTGTAATTGATAGAATCAGTAGACAGAAGATCAATAAGAATATAGAAGATTTGAGCAATACTAATAACCAATTTGACATAATTGACATATATATAAAACATCCCACCCAACAGGAGCAAAATACTCATTCTTTTCAAGCATGCACAGAACTTTTACCAAGATAAGCAATATTCTGGATCACAAAACAAGTTGCAGTACATTTAAATGGATCCAAGTCATGCAAAATGTGTTTTCTGATCTTAATGGAATTGAAATGGAAATCAATAAAAGAAAGTCTCTGGAAAATTCCCAAATATTTGAAAACCAAATAACACTTGGATCAAAAATAAATCAGAATAAAAAAATGGAAAATATTTTAAACTGAATGAAAATACAATATATCATAATTTAGGAACTTCCCCTAAGCAGACATAAGGTAAAATTTATATACTAAACGCCTATATTAGAAAAGAAGGAAGGTCAAATTAAAGGCATCAGCTTCATTTTATGAAACTATTATAGAAGAATAGGAGCAAATTCTGCCAAAGCCAATAACATGAAAATATGAAATACATAGGGATGAATATGACAAAAGTTGTTAAAGGCCTGTATTCTGAAAATAGAAAAGTATTGTTGAGATAAATCAAAGAAGACCAGAATAAATGGAGATAGACCTTGGTCTTTGAACAAAAGAGGCACTATTATTAAGATATCAGTTCTCTCCCATTAATCTATGGATTTAATGTTACACCAATAAAAATATAATCAGCCTTTTTTCTTAAAAGGAAAGAAATTGACAATCTGAGTTTCAAAGTCATATGGAAGTGCAAAGAACCTAGAATTTTTAAAACAACACTGAAAAAGAACAAAGTAGAATTAACACTACTTGAATTCCAGAAAAAAAAAATGATAAACTGGACACCACCAAAATTTAAATCAAATGACTTCATTAAGAGGATGAACAGATATGCTACAAATTGAGAGAAAATATTTTCAAATAATATATCTGTAAAGGATTTATACCCAAAATGTATAACAAAATCTCTAAACACAATAATAAGAAACCAAAATACAAAATAAAAACCAGTCAAAATATTTAAACAATGCTTCACCAAAGGAGATAAGAGATAAGAAATAAGCACATGCTGTGAAATGCAAATGACAGCAAAAATGAGATACCACTTTACATGTAGCAAAATAAGTTAAAAAGATGATCATACCAAGTTAGTGGAGGGTGTGAGGAATTCCAAACTCTTGTACACAGATGGGAATGTAAAATGATACAACCACTTTGGAAAACAACTGGGTAGATTCTTCTTTTTCTTTTTTCTTTCTTTCTTTTTTTTTTAGACAAAGTCTCACTTTATTGCCCAGGCTGGAGTGCAGGGGCCCTATCTCAGCTCACTGCAACCTCTGCCTCCTGGATTCAAGCCATTCTTGTGTCTCACCTTCCTGAGTAGCTGAGATTACAGGCATGCACCACCACACCCAGCTAATTTTTGTATTTTTAGTAGAGATGGGATTTCACCACGTTGGTCAGGCTGGTCTCAAATTCCTGACCTCAGGTGATCCACCCACCTTGGCATCCCAAAGTGCTGGGATTACAGGCATGAGCCACCACGCTCAGCCCTACTATAAGATCCAACCATCCCACTCATCAGTATTTAACCAAGAAAAAAGAAAGCATGTGTCTATTAAAAAATTTGTGCATGAATGTTCATAGAACCTTTATTTCTATTAGTATGAAACCCAAAACAACCTAAATATTCATCAGCAGATGAACAGATAAATTGTGAAATAAGCATAAAATGGAATACAACTCAGTAATAAGAAGGAATTAACTATTGAATATTAAAATAATTATGCTGAATGAAAGAAGTCAGATTCTCTCCTTGGCAAGAGTATATACTGGATAATTCCATTAGTATAAAACTTTAGAAAATGCAAACTATAGTAACAGAAAGAATATGAGTGGTTGCTGGATGGGACACTGGGGAAGAGAGAGAGGGATTCCAAAGAATATAAGAACACTGTTGGGAGTGATAGATAAGGATACAATCTTGATTGCAGTAATAGTTACATAGACATGTAACTATTACATGTTACAAGTTACATTTTGTAACTATTACAAGTTACATGTCTATGTAACTATTACATATACATGTCATACATATGTCAATACATATGTCAAAACATATCAAATTACATATTTTAAATATGCGCAATTTTTTATGTGTCAATTATACCTGAACAAAGCAGTTAAAAAATGTTGAGTCCACATTGTTATTTTAAATTCAAATGAAATGCCATAAGATTCTTTTTCACCTTCACATTCCCTCCTAGTGTTCTCCTTTTCTCACCGTGAAAACTAGTTCCTAATAAAGTTAAAATAGGTACTTATCGTTCTATCTCACAACACACAGGCAACTATAATCACACACAGACCTAGAGAGAAAGAGAGAGAAAGTTGGTTTTAGGATTGTATCTATACTATTACTAAAAGAATATCATAAAAGTAAAAATTAAAGGTTTCTTGTAGTTCTTTTGGTCCATATGATATAAACCATTAAAGTACACTTAAAGTGTTCAATAAGAAAACTGTGTTCAAATTACTTGAGTTCTTATTTAAAAAATATAGTTTTTCAAAATAAAACTATATGAAAATGTATACTCAAATATTTCTCCCATAATAATCTTTTCACTTACCATTTCCATTTACCTCATAAAAGGATACTATATTCTTAATTTCTTTTTGCAAAAAAACCTAAATTTATATTTTTTATATTTGCATATGTATATACGTGTATGTATGCATACTTATTTCTTATTTCTCATTTGTTACACAAATAGTGGCATACTGTGCAATATCTTTATCAACTTTCTTACAGTTTGATTTTTTTTAACTTAATACATCTTAGATGTAACACAGACCATGAATATCCACTTCATTCATCTTCAGCTACATACTTCCTACTCATCATTATTCACTCAAATTAGCTTCCTATGGATGGCATCCTATGACAGTTTTCACTATTTTGCCTTTCCAAATGATGGCACAATGAATAAACTCTTGCATAGATATAGATAAATATGAATGTAGATATAGATCTGGAATAGATATAGGAAGTTTATTTTTAGGGGAAATTCCTAGAAAGGGAACTGTTTCTGTTGTGGAAGATAATACAGATTTCACCACAATGGTTATTGTATAGTTTACACTTGCTCCAGAATCTATACCTGACTCCCGCCTATGTATGTATTGTCAAACTTTAAAGTTTGCAAATACAACAGGTTAGGAATGGTATCACATTGTGCATTAAATTTGTATCTTTGTGATAATGAGTGGTGTCTATATGGTTTACTTTTTTATTCACCAAAATTCTTGTTTCATTTGGAACTTATTGTGGTGAGTAATGTTAGGTTGTGAAATAAGTATTCAGTTGTCTCAACATAATTTATTACAAATATTTATGTTTTCAACAGTGAACTGAGATGCTACCTTTACTATACACGAAGTTTTCATACATTCTTAAGTAGATTTCTGGTAATCTATTTTGTTCATTGGAGAAACCTCATATGCTTTTAATTATGGTGGTTATAGAGTATGCTTTTATATTTGGCAGGACTGCTACTGCCTCTTGTTATTTTTGGAGGGATTTTCTAACTCCTTGCCTGTTTATTTTTTTTTTTTATTATTTGTATAAATTTAAGGAGTACAAGTGCATTTTTGATACATGGATAAATTGTGTAGTGTTGAAGTCTGGGCTTTTAATGTAAGCCTCACTTGAATAATATACATTGTATCCATTAAGTAATTATTCATCCCTCACCTGTCTCCCACCCTCCTACCCCTCCAAGTCTCCAGTATCCATTATTCCACTCTGTATGTTCATGTCTACACGCTGTTTAGCTCCCATTTCTAGGTGGGAATGGGTAGTGTTTGACTTGCTGTTTCTGAGTTGTTTCCTCTTAAGATAATGACCTCTAGTTCTATCCATGTATGATTTCATTCTTTATATGGCTGAATAGTATCCCATATATATTCAATATTTATGTGTTATATATATGTATATATAATAAGTTGTTATATATATATTACTTTTTTATTCGCTCATCTGTTGATGGACAGTTAGGTTGATTCCATATCTTTGCTATTGTGAATAGTGTTGTGATAAACATAAGAGAGCAGATATTTTTGATATAATGATTTCTTTTCCACTGGGTAGATACCCAGTAGTGGGATTGCTGGATTGAATGGTAGTTCTATTCTTATTTCTTTGAGAAGTCTTCATACTGTTTTCCATAGAGGTCTTACTAATTTACATTCCCCGTAGCAGTGTATATGTATTTCTTTTTCTCTGCATCCTCACCAACATTTGTTATTTTTTGACTTTAATAATAGCCATTCTGACTGGTATAAGATGATACCTCATTGTGGTTTTAGTTTGCATATCTCTGATGGTTAGTGATGTTGAGCATTTTTTTTTATGCTTGTTGACCATTTGTATGTCTTCTTTTGAAAAATGTCTACTCATGTTCTTTGCCCATTTTTTTTGTTTTGTTTTTTGAGACAGAGTCTGTCTGTCACCCAGGCTGGAGTGCAGTGGCGTGGTCTTGGCTCACTGCAACCTCCAACTCCTGGGTTCAAGCGATTCTCCTGCCTCAGCTTCCTGAGTAGTTGGGATTACAGGCACACACCACCATGCCCAGCTAATTTTTGTGTTTTCTAGTAGAGATGGGATTTCACCATGTTGGCCAGGCCGGTTTCAAACTCCTGACATCAAGTAATCTGCCTGCCTCAGCCTCCCAATGTGCTGGCGTTACAGGTGTGAGCCACCATGCCCGGCCCCTTTGCCCACTTTTTAATTGGGTTATTTGGTTGTTATTGTTGAGTTTGAGTTTCTTATAAATTTTGGATATTAGTCCACTGTCAGATACATAGTCTGCAAGTATTTTGTCTGTTACATAGGCTGTCTGTTCACTCCGTTGATTATTTCTTTTGCTGTGCAGGAACTTTTAGTTTCTCTGAGTCCCATTTGTTTATTTTTGGTTTTGTTGCTTGTGCTTTTGAGATCTTAGTCATGAATGCCTTGCCTGGGAAAATATCCAGAAGAATTTTCCTTAGGTTTTTGTCTATCATTTTGATAGTTTCGGGTCTTACATTTAAGTCTTTATTCCATCTTGAGTTGATTTTTGTGTTGGGTGTGAGAGAGGGGTCCAGTTTCATTATTCTACATATGGCAATTCCCAGCACCATTTGAAAAGGCTGTCCTTTCCCTGGTGTACGTTTTTGTCAATCTGTTGGCTATAGATATGTAGCTTAACCTCTGGGATCTCAATTCTGTTCCGTTGATCTATTTGTCTGTTTGTATACCAGTACTATGCTGTTATAGTTACTATAGTCTTGTAGTACAATTTGAGGTCAGGTAATGTGTTGCTTCCAGCTTTGTCCTTTTTGCTTAGGGTTGCTTTGGCTATTCGAGCTCTTTTTTGGTTCCGTATACATTTTAGGATGTTTTCTCTAATTCTTTGAAACATGACATTGATATTTTGGTTAGAAATTGCATTGAATCTGTAGATTGCTTTAGGCACTATGGTCATTTTAACAATATTGATTCTTCCAATTCATGAATGTGGGATATTTTTGCATTTGTTGGTGTCCTCTATGATTTCTTTCCTCAGACTTTTGTAGCTTCCCTTGTAGAGATCTTTCACCTCTTGTTTAAATATGCTGCTAGGTATTTTTTAGGTAGCTATTATAAATGGGATTACCTTCTTGATTTTGTTCTCGGTTTCATTGTTGTTAGTGTATAAAAATGCTACTGATTTTTGTATATCTATTTTGTATTCTGAAACTTCACTGAATTTATTTATCAAATCTAAGAGGTTCTTTTGCAAAGTCGTTAGGGTTTTATAGATATAACATCATATCATCAGTAAACAGAGATAATACAACTTCCTCTTTTCCGATTTGGATGCCTTTTATTTATTTCTCTTTCCTGATTGCTCTGGCTAGGACTTCCAGTACTGTGTTGCATAGGACTGGTGTAATTGTAAAATCCTTGTCTTGTTCTAGTTTTAAAAGGAATGCTTTCAACTATTTTTATTAAGTATGACATTGGCTGTGGGTTAGCATATTTGGCCTATATTATTTTGAGGTGTATTTCTTCTTTGCCTAGTTTGTTAAGGGTCTTCATCATGAAGGAATGCTGAATTCTATTAAATGCTTTTTCTGAATTTATTGAGATGATCATATGCTTTCTGTCCTTAACTTTGTTTATATGATGAATTACATTTATTGACAAAAATGTTAGCCCCAACTTTTTAGTTTAAGAAAATGAAAACTTCGCATTTTTATAAACATTATGTTCAATTTATATATTGATATAGTTGATTACAAGATAGCTATAAATTATTTGCTATTTATGTATTGAGACATGGAATCTGATTTCCCCTCCCTGGAGTCTGAGCTGGCCATTATGATTTGCTTGTCTATTGGAGTGTAGAAGTGACATTCTGAGACTTAGAGGCTTGGGCAGAAAAAGCCTCACAGACACTTTCTAGGTCTAGGAACCTCAGTTTTAGGAACTGAGGAAGTTCCTTTCTAGCAACCTCTTAGGACCCAGACACCATGCTGTTAGGAAGTCCAAGCAGCTCCCTGTACAAGCCACATGAACAGGAGCCAATTATCCTTGTCAGCAACCTTGGCTGAGTCAATAGCCACTACCAACCGGATAGCCACATGAGTGAGTCTTCTTAGAGGTGGATCCTCTAGCCCTAATAGAATCACCCAGCTGATGCCATATGGAACTGAGTTGAGTCATCCTCAATAAGCCCTACTCAAATTTCAGATTTGTTTGACAAAAACTGAATAATTATTAAAGATTACTGTTGTTATAAGCCAGAAAAATTATCTTAGGGAGAATTAAAACTGGATGGATAATTTTTAAACTTTCCGCTTTGCACTAAGTTGTCATCAAATACTCTTTATACCTTCATTTTTCTACCCTATTCTATTAAAAATAACGTTTAGAGGATTGTAATACAGTCTATTTAAATAAGCATTTTACCTTAAACACCTTAATAATACTAGTAATATCTTATAAAACATTAATCCTGAATAGCATAACATTATACTTGTTTAGTAAAATGAATAGTTTCTAATAATTAAAATAAATTGTTACTCTTATCCTGTATACTTCAAATAAGAGTTCAAGGCAGTTAAAAATCTACCTATGCATCAGGTCCCTATTATAAGTAAATAGAAGGAGAAACCTATAAAAAGTAGGGATTACATTATTACATTGTTTTCTTGGTTCTAAGTTTCATCCTTTTAAACTAATATTTCTCAACTTGGATGCTTCTTGTGATTGATATATATGTTTAATGTAGTGACTCTCCTACCGTCCAAAAGCTATTGCTAAGTCAAATAATATGTTAGGATTGAAGAATTATGTATACATTTTGAAGCATTTTCCTTTTTTTTCTAAAATAAAATCAGCATCTATAGATAGATATCTGAGAACTGCAAGAGGATTCTTCAGGCAATTTGATTGAAATGGCCAATGTAGTTAGACAGATATCCAGTTTGCATAGGAGGAAAAGAATTAATGGATGGATGATGTATTTTTCTCTGCTTAGCATTGCGTTTTTCAGTCATATATGTAAGCATAGAGCCAGTAGTGTATACAGTGTGGTCACAGATACTGAAGCCAGACTCCTTGGTTTCAGATCTCAGCTCTTCCATGGTAGCCATATGACCTTGGGAAATTTTTGCTTCCATTATAGTTTTCTATGAGTATTCAATAAGTTAATACTCATAAAGCACAAAGGAAAGTAATAGCATATAGTTTGCACCTTGCAGAAGTTTGTTAAATAAAATTAAAATGCAGGGAGGACCTCAGAAGGGGAAAAGCTAAATAAGTATTTTAACGGAAAGAAAAAAGGAAAAAATAGAGCAGGCAACACTGTAATAGGATTTATTTAAGCAGCTGCTGTTTCTTTACATAAACTCTTATTCACTTATATAAAGCACCTCTGTAGAAAGTATGAAAGGTGCTTCAGAGAAGTTTTCGAGCCTTTAGAAAGTTCCAAAGCCTAAATATATATATGAACCTTTTTGTATTGCAGCAAGTCATTCTGTTATGTACACATTTTAGTACAGATGGCTATTTTGAGAGAGTGTACGTAAAACTGGTTATAACAAATGAATTTTCTATTCCCAAGATTTGTTTTTCTCTCAGTATGTTATCATTTTGAGCTACATTTTTGGAAGCATATATGACAGGTGTACTTACCAACTGTGCCTGAAAGAATGATGTTTTGAAAAAAAAAATCTACCACTTCAAACCTCTAGTTCTCTGTTCTTTCTTCACGTTGAAATTATTTCTGGATGAATTTGTTTATTTCTTATTTCTCAGGTGTATTTATTTATACTTTGTACCCTACCTACATCTCAAATGATTTTAAGATAGCTTTTAAAAATTCATGTATAATAAGACAGTTAAAATTAAAAAAAAAAAAATCTGACACTACATGTATATGACTGTATGAGAGCGTGAGGTTCTCAATGGAAAAGTGCATATGTTACCAGTGGATGGTGTCCAGGTTCTTGGCAACTTGAACAAAGAATTGGACAAAATGCACAGACAAAGCAAGGAAAGAATGAAGCAACAAAAGCAGAGATTCATTGAAAATGAAAGTACACTCCACAGAGTGGCAGTGGGCCCAAGCATAGGGGCTCAAGAGCCCTGTTAAAGAATTTTTTGGGGGTTTAAATATCCTCAAGAGGTTTCCATTGGTTACTTGATGTACACCCTATGTAAATGAAGAGGATGAAGGAAAGTTACAAAGTCATTTACTCGGTGTTTGTCCTATGTAAATGGAGAGGATATTTCCTGTCATAGCTGAAGTGTTTCCCTTTGATTTAGTTTTAGGAAGTCCTTAGGTTTCCTGCATCCAGACCCCATTCTCCTGCTTCACATATGCCTAAAACTTTGTAATATCAAATTTTGTTTTGAGCTTGCTGGTAGGCAAGACAAAAAGGAGCACTGATTAAAAGTATTCTAAGTTAATTAGAGCTCATAACTATTTTCTTTTCCTTGTCCTGAATTCTGAAAAGCATCCATTGGGTGGTTCCTACCTACACAGAAATAATACTCTCTACAGAGCTTTTGCAAAACATACAGAGATGTCTCTCATATCCCACCCACTTTTGATGAAAGTCATAGGTGTACTACGCAAATGTCACTTAGTGAAAATGTAAGTTGGTGTTTGGTTTTGGATTATTTTATTCATTTGTTTGTTCATTTGCTGTTGGTGAGACCCAGCTAACGTGGTCCAGATGTGTTGCCTTCTCCTCTGGTGACAATTAGAATTCTTAATGAAGTTGTTTTCAGAAGATGACCCCCACCACTATCTGAATTAAAATCACATGAATAATTTGTTAAAATGTACATTCCAGGTCCTCAGCTCAGTCTTACCCAATGAGAATTTTGGGGACTGGGTTATTTTTTAAAAGCTTCTCAAAGGATTGTTATGAACACCAAAGAGGGCAAATTACTTTCTTAGACAAGTAGACCTGTAGGAAAGGGATCAAAGGGCAATCTAAGCTACAAGAAAGTGAAGGTTTGAAGACTTTGCATACTACTCTGCAGGATTTTACAACTGACAAGTTGACAGCTTCTTCCTCATCTCAAAGACGAGGAAATCATTTTGTCTTACCTACCAGAAAGGATTGCTGTAAAGATTACATTAGACAATAAATGTAAAAATGCTTTGTAAACCATTATATAAAAAAGAAGACACAGTTTTCATTATTATCAAGAAAAACATGTAGTTTTTAAAATCTAACTCTTATAAGGAGGTTGTTAGGCATAGAACTTTGGGATCTCATGGTGTGTTTAACTCCCGAATTTCACTCACTACGGTATCTAAAATAAAAGCCTTAAATTCTGGGTCTCAGGGAATCTGGAGATCCTCTGCTTCCTAAATAGAATTTCAAGCTCCTTCTATCTTTAGATTTGCCTTCCCCATTCTTCCAACTCCATGTGCTGCCAATTCCTGGGGCATTTGGGGTTCTATAGTGCAAATTGAATTGGTTTTTGACCTTCTTTACTGCTAACCTAGGAATCAACTTTCTTAGCTAAGGATTTGCTTCTTGTCTTTCTGCAGTCTAGCTTCTAAAATAGTGCCATTTTCTCTGTCCCTCCTGCCCCCTTTGTTTTGTTATTGTGAGATTTTTTCCTCTTTCAGAAATTATTTGCAGTCATTTTAAGGGGCACTGGGCAGTGGGGGGAAAGCTAACCCAAGATTTTTGCTTTGAAGTTGTTCTTTTAAAATGTGAATGCTTTCTCCTTAAAATCATTAGTTGCAAACTTGGTTCACACTCTTGTTTTATGATGTTTTAAAATGTGATGCATATATTTTGCCCTCAGCTAAAAAAAATAGGAATCATCCCACCCACTCCAAAGCCCCAGATCTGGTTACTTTATTCTCAGTAGCAGGATGGAAGAAAGAAGGAAGAGGGAAGGAAGGTAGGAAGGAAGCCAAAATTAATGGATATTAATTTTGAAGAGTATTGGTGATGATCCTTGTCAGCAATGTATTAATACTTCCTAGATTTTCTTATGACTCTCCTTTTTTTCATATAAAATCTGATGAATGTGACAAGTTTATGCCTGATTGTACTGGTAGAGTAATAAACTTAAGTTTGTAAGTGCATGGTGACTTTCAGCAATATCCAGTAAAGGGACTTGGGAAAAAAATAGGTTTTAGGAACCCTATCAATAAAACATAGGTAATTAAAGAACTAAAAATGGTGTAACTTTCGTATGGTAGTTAGAGAAATTTAACAGGCATGGTGACAGTCTACATTATTAGTAGATGCTGTGGCTATACATATTTATACTATAAGTCCAAGGCACCCCATATAAAACTATGAACAATCAAAGAGATATCGGGTCTTTGCAGATAGATGTCCTAACTACTTCTCATTTTCCATAGGTCTGTTGCTACCAGGTATGTGATTAGGAAGCTGTCATAACCTAAATTACTCCTTTGTTGAGTCTCTGTTGGGTGTAATTCCATTAATTGCTTTACAGGAGAGAGAAATAGCTTGGGATAGACAAGTTTTGAAGAGAATTAAGAACAGCAGTTGTGCTTCAGAGTAGAATCCAGGCTAGTGACATACAAGAGCAATAATCCGAATTTGTTCCATTCTCAGGTAGTCCTACTTCTAATCTTTATATTGAAGTTTTATGACTACTGTAAAATTAATTTGGAAATAGCATAGAACTATCCTTCTCCTTCAGATGACTTCTGATGAGTCCATTCTTAGTTGTACAGTCTTACAGAACCGGGAAAAATGATTCAGTGAAGGCATCACAGCCTTCTTGCTACTTTGCTTTGGTTCATTCAAAGCTTGCTGCTTCTAAACTAAGACTTCCTTGGGATTACCCTTGCTAGTCTCTCCCAGGGTCCTGTTTCAAGGGTATGTAGGCATGGTGTTGATTCCAGTGCTAGAGTACTGCTCTACGAAGAGGCCCCAAATGATCCACTGGGCCAAAATATCTTTGCATGTTCTATAATGTACTTTATAATCTATTCATACAGCACTACATTTGTATGGTTTATACACATGCATGGAATGGAGGTTCATCCTCAAAATGTTTGTAAAACTATCCCATAAAATAAGAAAATTATTCGAAGAGTACAGTTAACCTTATCTGATGCTTCTGTGAAGATAAGCACACAATTGTTTTGGTCTTCTCTTTAACAGAGAAGTGTAACTCCAGAAGCTTGAAGCCTTGCATTATCTCATTAGGCAGGTGAGTCCCCTAACTTCTATTGCCACTACTCATTTTTACCAAAAAATTTTGTCTTACCATTAGCATTATTGAGAGCAATAACCAGTGCGAGTAATAATAAAATATCCAGTGAAAATAAAACCTAAATGTAGAAGAATTTTAGAGTTTAGGAAGGTGTCAAATTTAGAGGTATGCATTCTCATTCTTACATTATACTCAATGGTGATGTATAAGCTATTAAAAACAAACCATATTAAAGAAAGGGCATTTGTTTTGTAACTTTTTTCAAATGAACAAATTGGTGATACCTAAGACCATTTTATTTGCTGTCTCCTCTATTTGCTGAAGTGTCCAACTCTTTGTGACAGCTGAAATGACAATCACTGCATGACATAACCATTTACCTAGTGTGTACAGGGATATTTCAGAAATATTAACCATGTGGGAGTCATTTAAAAGGCAAGTAAGTATGACCAGAGTCATTTAGCACTTAGAAACTTCCAGAGCAGCAGTTTAAAAAATAGCCTTGGGCCACAGAGTCTTCTTTGCCAGCTAACATATTGGGTTTATTATATATATATGTATATTAAAAAAACCATTGTGATGCCTTGATCTCTGATTCACAAATTTAGAGCACTGCTAGCTTCAAATCATGGTGTGTACCTTATGGTTTCTTATTTATGATTCTCTGGGCTTCTGTGTGCGTGTGTATGTGTGTGTGTATGTGTGTTTAGAAGGGGGTGGTGGTTTCTTCACTGCTTTCATCATTTGCATGCTTGTGTTTGGTTTTAACGAGGAGGTGTATGTTTTTGGTTCTATGTTTTGTTGAAATTCCTTATCACAAAAGTCCACTACCTTAATAACCATCTTGCAGGCTAAATGTGACTCCTGAAAGTCATAGGTGTTTTATTCTGAATTTACATACTTGTCCTTAACTGGCAGATATGCAAGTTTCCTCCTTCTATACTTTGTTGATTTGTATAGGTCTCCTATTCTGAGGACATAGTGAGAGAAAATGTGGTACATGTTCTAGTAAAATGAGTGGTTATTCTTGCTATTCGTAGAGACAGCGGAGGCAGGTGAATTATGTTCCACTGTGTCAGCCCCAAGCTAAATAGAGCTTTATCTTTTCCACACAGTGAAAGCATCTAGAGGGAATGCAAAGTAGTTTCCATTGTGCAATGAATCACTCATTAAAGTCAATTGACATCCAAGGAACACTTGTTTCAGTTATCACAGCTATTGGTAGGGGGAAGCTGGTTATCAAAGAAAGACAGAATACCACAATGGACCAATCATCTCCTTATTTTATTTTTTTTTTCAAATAAAAAACATACTTAGAAGTCAATTCATTACATTTTCTAGGTTCATGCATTGAAATTCAGGTTCCCCAACTTCCAAATTCTATGTTAAAAGTTTCTGAATATATATACATTATTTTCACCTCTAGAAAGTTATTGAAACTATTAAATTGCTTGGATGGCTGAAGATCAAAAGCATTACAGTCAATTAAGGGGAGAATGCCATACTAAGTGATCTTTGGAATATAATACTTTAAATACTAATTCAGCTTTACAACCTGAAGGTAAAAACCAAACAATTACATGGGACAAAAACTGCTTTAATGTATTACTTCTTATCTAAACACTGTTAAAATGCTCAAATTCTACTACTAGTATAAAATGAAAAAAATGAGCACCAAAATATATCATGTTCTCCACTGTCAAGTCCTTTTGACTGGTGAGAAAATACTGGTTCATATTTTATCTAAGTGTTCCCAACCCATCCTCTTCACATTATACTTGGATGCACCATGGTGTGCTGAAAAGAAGTTTGGCTTAATTTCAGACTCAAACATTACCTCTTCATGTAGTCTCAAGTTAATGAACTTCCCTGGGCCTGAGTTTCCTCATTTATAAACAAAGGGAGTGTGAGAGCACTCATAAAATATTATCTGAAAAGACTGAAAAGCAAACGTGAATGAGTAGTGTCCAGTGAAGGGTGTGTGCCAGTAATCCACTTGAGATTGTTCATGCCTTTCATTCTGTGTGTTAGCGGCAGAGATGGAGGGAAATGAACTAATGAAAGAAATATGTAGATGGATAGGATCAAAGGAATTCAAAGTAGAGTAGTGAGCGAGCTGAAAAATTTTGTATAGTTTCTCTAGGATTCTAAGAAAGAAACTCATTTGATGACTGATATTTATAATGCTTCAAGTTTATTAATGGCTTACTGCAATGTGTCTCAATAAAAGGTGACTGATGTTATCCACGTTTTTCAGATGGATAAGTTGAGGTCAAAGAAGATAAATACCTTTCCTAACATTCCATGGCTCATAGGTGGGAGCATTTGGATTTGACTGTACATCTGTCTGACTTCAAAGTCCAGGTTCTCAGCACTGGGTGAAGAAGCCTCCCAAATTGTGGTAAAGGTACCTAGTTATTATTACACCACATAGTGGTAAGCGAGATTATAGAGCAGGAATAATTCCCCTTAGGATACTGAGTTTACCTTCCACCATTTGAAAAAAGAATTTCTTCTTTGATTAGGTATTTGGCCTGTGTCTTGCTAAAGCTGTTTCATCAGACATAAGTTTATGTTGTGATTAGAGAAATGTGTACTATTCCTTATCTTAAGCTATCTCTTAATAAAGTTACAATTCATAACTATAAACAATATGGAATCATTAGTAAATAGCATAATCTGGCATTTTGGGCCACTTAGCGAAAGTCGTTAGAATACCATTTCATTGATTAAAAGATAAGTTTACCCATATCGTTAATATAAATAGCCATCTGTTTATACCATGAGCATGGTAACAGGCAAATCAGAGCAGGAAGCAGGGTGCATGCAATAGCATTTGGAACCTTGGCGAATCAGACCACAGCAGGACTTTATTAATTAAATTGCTGTAGGCTGATTGCTGAAGGCATTGGTCTGTTCTGTTAGAACTCAAATGACAAGAGTCACGCAACTGTTTGTACCTAGTAAATTCCTTAATCATTTGACTCTCCGTGTATGGCTTATAATTCTCTTCCCCTTCCACTGAAGGATAAACAAGTTATCTTTCACTTTATCCATGGCTGCTGAATACCTCTTTCAGCTCACAAGCATTGATGACAAAGAACATTATCTTAAGAAGAAAAGTATGAGTGCCCAATTCCATTGCCAAATAGGCCCTTACAGAGCTATTTATGGAATCCTAAAGTTAATACATACGGCAGTAATAATGAACTGAGACTAAAATAATTTGCTTCTAGACATAGTTCTGCTACATTTAAAAAGTATGTCAGCCTTGACCAAATCACTTTATCTTAGTTTTCTCACCTAAGAAATGAGGAGGTTGTACAATTTAAGGTGTCTATCAGTCATGAAATCTCAATATCTGTTCATCTATGTTTAATTTCATGAAGTATATTAAAAATTATTGGAATAATTTGTGCAGCTTAAAGTTTATTCATAATTTATCCATTTGAAGTATCTGTGTATTTCAAGATGGCTCTGTTGTTTTCTATTCTTACTCCTTTTGAAATAATAGATGTTTGATTTTCTGTGAATCTTTGGAAGGATTCCAGATGTTTTCATTCGGGTCTTTCTTAGCCATTAGCATATGATTTCATCAATTTCCTTTAACTCATATCAGTGGTTCTCAACTTAAGACATTTTGGCATTCTCAAAATAAGACATTTTTGGTTGTCACAAATTGGGAGATGCTACTGGTATCTCTATTACATAAAGACTAGGAATGCTGTTTTAAATCTCACAATTCACAAGGTAACTCCATAACCCCAACACAAAATTTTCCTGCCCAAAATGTCAACAGTATACTTTTCCATAGGTATTTGGAGAAATCCTAAACTAACTATGCACATTAAAGTACAGAGGAACTAGCCTGGGAGTCTTATTTTTATACCAAGTATAAAGCACACTGCAGGGAAGTTGTAAGTCAGTTTATTATGCATTTTAAAAGCATCATTTGATACTTAACTATAAATAATTATTTTCCATTTCAAAATTCAGTGGGATAGATGGTAAATGCATGGACTTTGGAGTAGGTGAACTTGGGTTCATATCCTGACTTTATCATTTAATAGTTATATGACTTCAGACAACTTCTTTCTCATTTCTGAGTCTCAGTGCTCTCATCTGAAAAAGTGTTTAGTTGTATCTTCCTTTCATTGTTGTAAGACTTAAAATGGAACATTAAGTGCTTATAAGGAAAAGCTGTTTAAGACAGACACATAACAATGATTATGTTAACAATGATAGCTGATTTGCTAAAAAAATTCCATGAATCAAAATTTTCTTTGCACAAAGTTGTTTAACTTATTAAGGTTTTACAGCAGAAAAGGAATACTGATAAATGCTTCTGTTGAAACAAGGAAAAAACAGGACAAAAACAACTTTTCAAAAACTTTATTTAAAAATATATATGGGAAAACACATTTTATGCTGTAAAAAAGAAAGTTCTTGCATATATAGAAGCTAGTGCCAAAATAATAAATAGCATTGGAAAGGTATTGTAAAGAACCGTGCTGAACAAGAGAAGCTCCTAAAGATATTAAAACCACCCACAAATGAATCAGAAAAAAGCTGCAGTTGAGAGATGACTAGAAATGTATTGGTAGCTGAGCTGGGAACAGTTTTCAACATGCTTTATTTCTAAACATTCCATCTTTTCTGCACTAGTATGTCCAGTAAGGTCAATGACTATAGAAAATGCTCAAGTATAGACAGAGGATTCACAGATATCTGAAAGTCACGCTTCTTGAAGATTATCAGTTTAAAATCTGTGAATCACTGCTACTTTTTTTTTTTTTTCCATTATGAGCAGTCTTTTTCCCAAAGGAATCCTGCCTGATGAGTAGGAGTACATTGTTTGAAAGAACTACAGAAGTACTTCTTAGGTGTTTTTCCCCTTTAGCAAAATGTTGGGAAGATGGAGGAGTATTCAGCATGAGGTATGCTGTCATTATATTTATTCTGGGCCTTTCAGCACTGTAATTTATTTCTGTGCCAAAACAATATGAATTGTTAAAAAATGTGCTTCTCCAAAATATGAAACAGTTGGACTGGATCCCTATTGAATTATGCACATATCTTAGCTAAAAGAATGGTATTTTCTGAATAATAAAAATCATACTTTTTTGCAGAAACAAAAAACTCAAAATATTTATCAGTACATTTTAAGGGCTATTCTCCCAATTGGACCTAAAATGAACTTTAAAAAAATTCAAATGGTTCTCAGAAAGCCCACAACATTTATTTAGAACAGATTGTATCTACCATCTCTTATCTTTTTACTGAGATGATTCTTCCTAGTAATGAAGAATCCTAAATGGAATTGGCATCTAAATTTTAGAAATACAAAATCACTTTATTGTGCATGAAGATACTTCTAGAATAAATATAGTCACATCATCTGTTTATGATAAGGAAATTGGTAGCTTGAGTGAGGGAACAATTAAAAGTGTTAAAAAAATGAGCACTGGACAGTGTTAACAATTTCCTGTGCTGTGATTATTGCGCGAAGGGAAAGGAAGTTTCCATTCATTGAACACCCTCTGTGGGTAAAGTACTCTTCTGATGCTTTCATACATGTTCTCATGGAATCCTCAGAGCCACATGCAAAGTGTGGAAACTGTATTATGCCTTATGTGTTATTATGTATCATGTCAGAGATGAGATTACTGAGTCGCAGAGAAGTTAAGATCATTCAATTAGTGAGTAGAAGCTCTGAGTTTGAATCCAGATGTAAAGTCTCAAGTTCGGTGCTCTTTTCTCTAAATCACACTGCTTACATTATTTATTATTATTTTATATGTGTTTGTATTTAAACACTCCCCAAAATGCTCTGAATTTCCACTGCTAGGTGAGTTCTTTAATGTCAGGGGTAATGATTTGAATGTTTCTGAGCTCATAATATATTCCGTATTAGTGACTGGCATATGGTTGGTCCTTATAAATATTTGTTAAATAGATTCCAATATTGACAACATACAAGAAATACATCTTGCTTCATTTGTCAAAAAAAGGTGGTTGATATGGTCTGGCTCTGTGTCCCCAACCAAAATCTCATCTTGAATTGTAATTAGAATTATAATCCCCATGTGTTGGGGAAGGGACCTCATGGGAGGTAATTAGATTGTGAGTGTGGTTCCTCCAAGTTGCTCTCATGACAGTGAGTTAGTTCTCATGAGATCTGTTGGTTTTATAGGGGACTTTTCTCCCCTGTGTTCTGCACTTCTCCTTCCTGCCGCCATGTGAAGAAGGACGTAGTTGCTTCCCCTTCCTTCATGATTATAAGTTTCCTGAGGCCTCCCAGCCATGCTGAACTGTGAGTTAATTAAACCTCTTCCCTTTATAAATTACTCAGTCTCGGGTATGTCTTTATTAGCAGCTTGAGAATGCACTAGTACAGTGGCAGAATGGCACAACTGTCGAGCCATTTAGACATTTTGAAGATAAATGTTATATAAATACATCATTATATTTCTGCGGAAATGACAAGGTTTACATAATTGACATTGAGGAATCTCGCATGTGTAAACAGTGCTAATCTTCTGTCTACTTTAAATCTTGTTATCAAAAAAATTCTATTGGGTATGTATTCAGAAATAGTTGCTAGGACAACATAAAAAAGTTAAAAAGATATGTATTTCAATGGGAAACATTTAAATTTTACCTATGTGGTTTTATGCATTTCTTAATGTGCAGAGAAAAGAAATAAACTGTTGTTGAAAGATCTAAAATAGTAGTGACCAAATTCTCTTGGTACATTGTTTCCCTAATATGAAGTTTGTCATAATTATTCATGTTTTTTTGGATTTGTAATTGGTATTAATTTCGGCCTTCCATTGGCATTATAACTTAGTGCTTCCAAAATGCATTTTCTTTATATGCCTGACACTTTTCCTGAACACATGAAGGACAGAAAATGGCTATTCATCCTTGTGTCCCTGCAGGCATCTAATGGGTGAATTCATACTTTACCATACTGTTGTATGTGATTGAGGATATAAATTGTGATATACTTGGAGAAAGCATCATGCCTGTCATGAAAGCTCTGACCTTACATCTTCTCTTATATGTCAATTGACTTTGAGTTCCTGATAAGTGATATCATAATGTTGTAGTAAATATATATATATATAATTTTGAGTTCCTGATAAAATCACTATGACACTATCAGCTTTTCCCACCTCTGACCATTGATGTAGATAAATATAAGCCTAAGTATCCTCCTTTAGAAAATGAAATGTCCTATTGATAGGATACAATCGATGTAATTCTGGACCAAACCATTAGCTCAGATGTATTTTCCCCAAAATGTATGTCATTTTATATGCAATTTATACAGTCAGAGTTAAAAGCTACACTATGAAGGGAGTTGAAAAAATGCCTAATGTATTGGTGTTAAAACAAGTTATTGTTTTTGAAGGGAAATTGTGTTGTTAGAAATTGTGTTGATACAGTCTTGTTTTAATCAGAGGATGTCAGAGTTTAAGGATGTCTCCTTATAGAAATCTGATTAATGGATCAACCATTCCCTAACAGGGACTCTCTTGGTGATGCTCCTTCTTTGAAGATGATCCCAGTTATTTTTGGATGTGTTGTACATTCATTGCTGTCCTGAAGGTGAAAACTCTGCTCCAGTGAAAAGTTTTTTAAAAGTTCATTTGCATGAATACTAACTAAAATGTCAATAAAGATGAGAAGCTTTATTCATAATAGTTTTTTAATGGCACTCAGCATTAAGACATCTTAAATTCTAAAAACAACATAGTTTTTAATTGCATTATTAGAACTACAGAAAACACAGATCAACAAACAGAACACTCATTATCCTAACTCACATAAAAAGAAAATGTTAACATTTTATTGTATATTGTTCAAGATCAGTTCCTTTGCACATATTCAGAGATAGGAACTTCTTGGACATAAAATATAAAAAGTAAAAAAGAATAAACATAATCACATTGTACTTTACATATATTTCATTCTGCTTTTTAACATGATAATGGATTACAACAACCCATGTATGCCAATAATTCTAAAGAAATATGATAATTTTCATGGCAGAATATAGCTTTGTGTGATGTAACATTATTTGTTGGATTTGTTGGGCATTTAGGTTATTTCCATTTTAATTTTTCAAACATTGCCATAATGAAACACACGCATATGCACACACACACACACACACACACACACACGTACAGCACTGTGGGATGTTCTGATTATTCCCTTAGGATACATTTTAACAGATAAAATTGTGGGAACAGTAGATATGTATACTTCTTTTTTAAAACATTTTTTAAAAAAACTAATTTTGGACTTGAAGAAAAATGGTGAAAATAAGACAGAGATTTACCCAACACACCCCACCCAGATTCCCTGAAGGTAACATCTAGCATAACCATGTTACAGTGATGAAAACCAAATAATTACATTGGTATGATACTATTATCTAAATTGCAGACTTTAATTGAATTTCACCAATTTTATTCTGTAACATCTTTTTCTGTACCAGGATTCTATATAGATTTTCACAGTTTATTTGGTTGCTATTTTTTCTGAAATTCCCTTTTTTTTGAGTTCAAGTCTCACTCTGTTGCCCAGGCCGGAGTACAGTGGCTTGATCTTGGCTCACTGCAACCTCCGCCTCCTGGGTTCAAGTGATTCTCCTGCCTCAGCCTCCCGATTAGCTGGGACTACAGGTGTGCACCACCACGCCTGGCTCACTTTTGTATGTTTTTTAGTAGAGTCGGGGTTTCACCATATCGGACAGGCTGGTCTCGAACTCCTGACCTCATGATCCGCTTGTCTTGGTTTCCCAAAGTGCTGGGATTACAAGCGTGAGCCACCATGCCAGACCCCATTTTTTTATAATAGCAAAACCTGGAAACATATATAACTTCTTAATTTAATAATGTATTATGTCTCATTCATTCATGCGTGTAATTCACAAACATTTATTTATCTTCAATTGAAGGCACAAGGGATACAATGTGATTTCCTTAAGAAGCTTACAGTCTAGTAGGAAGAAACGGACCTGTGAATAATATGATCATTTAAATACTATAATTGGCATTTGTCCAGATTATTATGAGTTCAGAAAATAGGCAGTGATCAAAATTTCCTTAGGGAGAATCTAACTAGACTTCACAGAAGAAGAGACAGTCGCCAAGTCTTAAATATGTGAAAGTAGTTATCAGTTTAGTTGGGTTTTTAAGGCAGAAGAAGAAAATATTGCCAGCAGAAGTAATGAGCAGAAAAATACCAGGCTCAACTAAAAGACTCACAAACCAAAATGCGTGCATTTTAGGGTAATATAGTGGTGTAGAGGCTGGCTAGTGAAAAACGAAGAAATGATATTGAAGTACAACACAAGTAGAAGCCATATCTGGAAGGGATTTGGAATTATTGCTATTTTCATGGGATAGCTATCTGTGTATGTCTTTGAGGAAGACAACCCTGTGTGAAAGGCTTGGCCATTCTTCAGTGTTGTGGCCATGGACAATTCACTTTCTCACTAAGTCTTAGTTTCTTTTTACTTTTCTTTTCTTTTTTTTTTTTTTTTTTAAGACAGAGTCTCACTCCGTCACCCAGGCTGGATGGAGTGCAGTGGCATGATCTCAGCTCACTGCAACCTCTGCCTCATGGGTCCCAGCAATGCTCATGCCTCAGCCTCCTGAGTAGCTGGGATTACAGGCATGAGCCACCGTGCCCAGCTAATTTTTGTATTTTTAGTAGAGACGGGGTTTCACCATGTTGGTCAGGCTGGTCTTGAACTCCTGACCTCAAGTGATCCGCCCGCCTCGGCCTCCCAAAGTGCTGGGATTACAGGCGTGAGCCACTGCACCAGGCCAGTTTCTTTATCTTTAATATGGGAATACTAATACTTTGTTCAAGGGTATTCTGTGAAGATGTAATAGATATGGCAAACCCCCATGCATAGTCCATAGTGGATTATCATAAGTGTAAAGCTATAATATGATTGTTATGTTTGCATGCAGTGTTTATTTTTTTCCTGTAGACACTGGGAAGTCATTGCCGGGTTTTAATCCTATGAGTATGTTCTTACTTTAAGAAAAAACAATGTGGTGACAATAGGTAGAATGACTTGAAGAGACAGTGAGACTTGTTAGGAAGGTGTTACATTTATTGGGTGTGTAGAGGGCAATGTAATACAATCTTGTTTTATATTGTTTCTATTAGTTTCCCAGGGCTATTGTAACAAAGTACCACAAACTGGGTGGCTTAGAACAACAGAAAATTTTGTCCCTTCAGGCCAGAAGTCTGAAGTTAAGGTGTTTGGCAGGGCCATGCTCCCTTTGAATGCACTAAGAAAAGATCTGTTCCCGTCTCTCCGCTACCTTCTGGTAGATCCTTAGTTTGTGGCAGCAAAACTCTAATCCTCACATAACACTCTCCCTGTGTGCATGACTGTCTCTCCACTTGGCTTTCTTTTTATATGGATGTCAGTCATATTGGATTAGGGACCACCCTATTTCACTAAGTCCTCATCTTAATTCAACTAGTTACACCCACAGCAACCTTATTTCCAAATAGGTTGCATTCTGAAGTACTGGGGATCAAGACTTCAATAGGTGAATTTGTGGGGACACAATTTACCTTACAATATTGTTTTTTCTAACTTCAGCATTAAATGGTCCTTTTTGGGTGCTTCCTAGTATTTTTGTTATAATACAAGTTTTTTAACAGAACTAGCTACCACTGACCATTGGTGCCAATCAAAAACCAACCCCACCATTCAAATACTGGGCAAATGTGGGATGGTGTATAGAACTTCTGTTTACCTATGCATACATTGTTAGATAAAGCAGTTTAAAACTATTATGTGATGTAAGGTTTTAAAAAATAAAAACACAAAATCTTGTTTACAGCATAATTAAAACTTTGTAAGGAATATGCATGTCTGAAATTTAATATACTAAAAAAAGTGTTAGTTTTACTGTAGTGGTAATATTTTTATTTCAAAATTATCTTTAAGCTGATTTTTTCCTATAAATAGGGAGAAAGCAGATAAACTGAAAGTGTTGAATTCTAGATCTTAATTTTCATGGAATTTGAAAATTGTCATCATTATCCTGAGAACATAGGTGCCTGGTGCCTTGTTGTGATTATTAATATCACATCTCAAATGTGGCATGAAGAAAGGATAGAGCATTGGACTATGTTACTGCATTCTTTCCATTTTTATTTTAACTATTGGCCCATTGCTTGATGCCAAGAGAGTTAACTTTAACCTCACTTAGTCACCTTTTAACTTATAGTAAGGACAAAAACAGTGATGTGTCATTCATTTGTTTACAGGAGGATTATGAAGTATCATGTCAGGTTTTGTTCTAGAAAAACATTTTTGGACTCAAAAATGCTATGCTTTTGAGTGTGATGAGATGAGAAATAGAAGTGTGCCATTTGCTAATTATAAGTTATTGGTGGTTTTTTTTCAGAAGTTCTATAAGTAGCTCTGTTTAAAAATTTCAAAATGGACAAAGGGCATGAAGCTATTTTGGGAACAAAATGTCAGTACTGAAGGTATACTTTTTCATATATTGAACTAATGCGTGGTTCAGAAAGTTCTTTGCTAATTTATCAAAATGTCATCTTCAGGTACTGGGTTGGAAAATTAGTAACTGCTAGAGTGTGTGACCATTGAAAGGTGCAGGAGCCTATCAATTTTTAGCTTCTAGCATAAAACGATGTTTATCATTAGTGTTGAGATTTAAAATGTCAGAAGTTCTTAAAGTTCTTAGCATAAAAAATAAAGGCTAAAAGTTAAGCATCTATTATACTATAAATCCAGATATACAAAAGGAAAACACAGTACTCAAAAAGCATTAAATGTACTCAAATAAATTACCTAAAAAGTGCATAGGTAACAACTTTTAACCGTGTAATGGCAAATGTCTTAATTTTATCCTTATAAAAATGATTCCTGTTGGCTTTTAATTACTCTAAATTGAGGAATGGTGTATTATTAGTACACTCTTCACATATATACTATTCACTCTTAAATACTTATGTGGCCAATCATATGTTGGGCAAATAATACTTTTTGCTTCCCTGGCAAAACTCTGAGCAATTAGAAGAAGTAGCATAAAACCTATAGCGAAATAATATCAGAATTGAATCCCTTGCCCAGGCATGGTGGCTGAGGCCTGTAATCCAGCACTTTGTGAGGCCCAGGACCATGGATTGCGTGAGCCCAGGAGTTCGAGACCAGTCTGGGCAAAATGGCGAAACCCCGCCTCTACATGAAATATAAAAAATTAGTCTGTAGTCCCAGCTACTGGGGAGGCTGAGGTGGGAGAATCACCTGAGCCCAGGAAGTTGAGGCAACAGTGAACTGTGATTGCGCCACTGCACTCCAGACTGTCTCAAACAGAAGAAGAAGAAAAAAGAATTGAATCATTTTACCTTAACATGGTTAACCACATTGGAAGACAGAGGATCTTGATATGAAATAACTTCACAATTGACTATACTTTTACTTGCAACAATACTTCTCCTGCCACTTTACGTTTGGCACTTTGGTCAATCTCCCAACACTTTTGCATATACCTTACTCTTTTTCTCCACCCATTATGCAAACAAGCTAGATAGGAAATCACATTTGACAGGTGAGAAAATGGAGGCACTGATATTTCAAGTATCTGACCCAATGGCAAACACAAGGTAAAACACCTGGTACTACAATTTAGGCTTTCTAGAGATCAGTGCTCCAATGAGAAGCTTTGTAGTTAAAATGTTATTTTTAATGCAGAATGAGTACTTCGTGCTCATAAGAATTCAAATAAGAAAGGAATAGTTGGCCGGGCGTGGTGGCTCACACCTCTAATCCCAGCACTTTGGGAGGCCGAGGTGGGTGGATCACGAGGTCAGGAGATCGAGACCATCCTGGCTAATATGGTGAAACCCCGTCTCTACTAAAAATACAAAAAATTAGCCGGGCGTGGTGGCAGATGCCTGTAGTCCCAGCTACTCAGAAGGCTGAGGCAGGAGAATGGTGTGATCCCAGGAGATAGAGCTTGCAGTGAGTCAAGATCGCGCCACTGCACTCCAGCCTGGGCGACAGAGCGAGACTCCGTCTCAAAAATAATTAGAATAAAATAAAATAAAATAAAGAAAGGAATAGTTTACCTGTAGTCGTGAAGCTATACTTCTCTTCAAGGTTTTTGCAGAGTAACCTTTGGGATTTATGTGCTATCTTGCTTCCAAAGAGAATACAGAAAATTTTTCAGATGTTTTTGATCCATACCTGTGAGGCAGTAGATGGTTGCTATCAGGGTGAATAAAGACTGGGTGAAATGCTTACGAGATTTGCATAAGGTTATTGTTTACAACAGAGTCTGTTCTGACACCTGATGATATAGAAATTCCTGGATAGGTGAAGATTAAATCTTGGATGTATTCTTAATGGCTTTGGACAAGTTATTGGTCCTCTGAGAGCTTTTGTGTCTTATCAGTACAATGGGGATGCTGGTGACACCTCTTGGATAGAGCTGACAAAAACTTGAATGGGAGAGCCATGTAGATTGCCTACAAGAAGGCTGACACCTTCAAGGAGATAGTCTTCCTCTTTCTTCTCTCCTGACCATGTAAGACGCTTCTTCATTGTTTCAACTTAGGTTACCTCATTCAAGCCTTAATATCATTATGTATAACATTTTATAATTTTATTCTCAAGTTGAAGTACCTATAACAATGTAACTCTTTCAACTATATTTTTTTCCCACTTGCTGAAAAATAGAGGTCAATGTCACTTTACAACAGCAGAAGTGGTTATACATTACTCAAAAATTAGGGAATATTTCAGCAGATAGACCTTTAAGGAGTCACTGTAGGTTTTTGCTGGTTTAAGCCTTGTCAATAAACAATTGCTCTCTCAGAGTAAAGGGATTTAGAATGATGGTTATATTTTTAATAATTGTGATGGCATGACAAGGAGACTGGTTTGTGATTAAAGGTTGATGCTTTTAAGTACTAAATGGAGACTTTTTAGGAAATTATATTGGTAAATCAAAGATTTACATTATCAGCATCAATTTTTTTCCCTCATGAAAAATCTGATAACCATATATGATCAGAATGGTATTTTCTTGATGCTATGAAATGTACCCCTGGGTAAAGTAGTAAAATACTAAAATCATGTGAGCATAATTTATGTTAAGTCATTCCTTTAGCAATAAGTAGCTACTAGTGCTAGTTAATCCCTGATACAACTCTTAATATGTAACGATATGGTTATGTCATTCACAAAGAAGAAAATAATGCCTTTCTATTTGCCATGGTAGACTACTTGTGCATTTATTCTGAAATCAGTATCAGAACATTAGAGTATACATTAAAAGGAGAGGCATTAAAATATAGCCTATTTTACTATTTTTGAAACACTGGTCTGGTTTGCAAGGTCTAGTTTGCTTACCATGATTTTTGTAGTAATAGAAAATGCAATTTTTGCAGGAATGTTGCGGGAGTATCAAGCATGGTGCATTTAGTTCCTAAAATAATGCTGTGAGCTCAGTGGTATTATCCCATTTTGTGCATGAGGAAACTGGGGCATAGAGAAGATAAATATCTTGTTAATGTTATACAACTAAACATCACAATGCAACCTCCATCTAACCACAAAGCCATGTACTTTTTTTGTTTTTTTAAGTACATATGTTAATGGTAGAAAGGTGTCCAGGTTCTTGGCATCTTGAACAAAGAATTGGACAAAACGCACAAACAAAGCAAGGAAGGAATGAAGGGATTTATTGAAAATGAAAGTACACTCCACAATGTGTGAGTGGGCCCAAGCATAGGGGCTCAAAGGCTCCATTACAAATTTTGGGGGAGTTAAATACCCTTAGAGGATTCCATTGGTTACTTGGAGTACGCCCTGTGTAAATGAAGAGGGTGAAGTAAATTTACAAAGTCATTTACTTGGCCTACACTCTATGGAGAGGATATTTCCTGTCATAGCTGAAGTGTGAATCGGCCGTATGTTCCCTGCCTCCAGACCCTATTTTCCTGCCTCATATATAGTCATCCAATAATCATTCATGTCTAGAGATCCATATTAAGGACATAAATTTTGTTTAATTTTCTGAAGTAATGAGAGGTAAATGAAAAATACACAAAATTGTAGACTTTTGACAGATTTATGTAAAACATGAAAGTAAATATATGAACAATCAATAGTAAAATGGCCTTGTCTAAAATTTTGTTATTTTATATGTGCATTAGCCATTGTACCAAGGATATTTATTGTGCCCTTATTGTGTACAAAGCACTATGCATTCATGTCATTATCCCAACTTTACAGATGAGGAGACTGAGGCTTAGGGAGTTTAAATAGCTTGTCCAAAAAAAAAATTTAGCCAACATCTGGGTGACTTCAAAATTTGTGCCCTTGATCAGTATGCTATATCTTGGGCTGAAGTGAAAGCCCTATAGGAAAAAAGAATTGTAATGTTACGAATATGTTATTTAAAGTTACAGGAACATTTTTTAAAGGAATAGAAAGCTGTCCTTTCCGAAATTAGATTCCTCTTTATACCTGTATAAAGAAATCATTACTGAGGAATTAATTACATCAATAGTATATTAAGGATTGAAGGCTATTAATTATTACGGTAGCTTTTAAAATTTTGAGTGGAGAGACATTTCTTAAAGCTGCTTATTCCCACAAATTCTAAGTTAAATAAAACATGGTGAGAGAGCTTAGAGAGTCCCAGTTGGGATGAGACATAGGTTTATAAACTTGGAGAAAATAATTCAGCCTACACTAAGTTTTCTATCCCCCAGGATTCTGTAACTGTAGTAATAGGGATTTGGGATATATTTTTATCATTATAAAAAAATTATATTTTTTTCATGTTTCTGTATGATAAGATTATTTTGACTAACTAAATTTTTTTTTACTCAAATTATGTCAATCAGTGTGGTAGCATTATTTTTCGTATGTTGGCCGGAAGTTTTGATTGACAGCTGTATGCTTTTAATTTATAAAACATATTAATTATTAATAAATTGTGTTAATCTCTAAGAGCATGAAATTTTGGACATAGCATAAAGGAAGAGAGAAGCAGCAGAAAGGAAAAAAATCTTTGTTGATTGAATATTTGGAATTGATTGCACTGATGTCTATGTGGATCTTCCTTAATGAAATGTTTTTATTTAACATGGATGAACATCAATAACATATTCTTTTTTTCCCACTTTTTGGTCTTCAGAGTAGTTTTCAAAATGCCAGAATCCCATATTCATTTCATTGCGCATATATCTCTCAATTGACCAGCCAGCTCAATCTTCAAAATTCATCATTTTAATGCATCTAGGAGCTTCAGGTAGCAGAAGTAAATTGAACAATTTATTAAAACAAACAAACAAAGAAAGCTCTGAGAAGTCTTTACGTAAAATAATTCATCTGATTATCAAACCATAGGTAAATAAGGAAAAAGTGCTTGCTAATAGGAAGAGATAGCACTTCACTCAAAAATTTTAGCCAATTATTTTATTCTTGGTAGCTGATAATATTATATTAACTATCAGTTATCGATGCCAGGAAACCATGTAAGATAATTTTGTGGTTGCTAGAGGTGTTGGGGGAGTGAGTGTGGGTTGGGAAGAAAGGAGGTGGATGTGGTTATAGAAATGCAAAACAAGGATCTTTATTGGTGATGGAACTGTTTTGTATCTTGACTCTTGCGGTGGACACATGAGCCTGACTATGTGATAAAAGTGCATAGAACTGCTCTCTTTCTCTGTCTCTGTCTCTCTCTCTTTCTCTCTCTCTTTGTCTCTCTCTCTCTCTCTCTCACACACACACACACACACACACACACACACACACTAGAGTATAAGTAAAACTGGGAAAATCTTAATAGGATTAGTGGATTGTATTAATGTTAATATGCTGGTTATGATATTTTACTATAGCTTTGCAATATGTTACTATTGTAGGAAATGGGTAAAGTGTGCAAAGGATCTCTCTGTAATATTTCTTACAACTACATGTGAATATACAAGTAATGTCAGAATAAAAAAGTTAATAATAATAATAGTAGTAATAATAATAAGATATAGCAAAAGGAAACTAGAAAGAAAATGCTTCATTGAGCTTTGAGGCATGCTGCTCTTCCTTGTTTTCTAAACAGCCAGAGAGCTGAGGTAGTGATGCCTTTGACAGACTATAGAATCTTAGCAGTCTGGCAGGCAGATCAACGGGACTGGAGGTCAACAGGGCCAGATGGAAATTGGAACAAACAAAGCCCTAGTAGTGGAACCAGAGCTCTGCTATATTCCAAATCAGTTCAAGTACCATATGAAGAATTTTAGCCAGTCTGCCCTTTTGGTTCCCTGACAGTGGCTATTCAGTATCCAGAAATTGCTAATATAAAGAATATACATGCTATGTGTTTCAGATAATATAAAGTTTTTGTTTGTTTTTTTCTCTATAAAGGTAATATGGTAAATGAATAAAATATTTTTATGTATATACCTTTGATGTACTTTTTGTATAAATTCATAAATTGGAAAATACATTTTATTCACATTTAAATTTATTTTAAATATATTGTATTCTAATTTTTATTGGGAACATGTAGTTGCTGCACACTGGAAATATTAAGTAAATATCTATCTTTAGTCTGAAAAATGCCTAAACTTCCACTGTACATCTCAGCATACCTCAAACAAAGCAAAATTTCATATTTTCTTACAATTATTTGTCTTCATATGTCTCTTCTGATAAGACATTGAGTCCTTGGACTGTAGAACAATTCTCCTTATTTTGTTTGTGTCTCTCTTCTTACTTTGATCACCATCCTTTTACTCCCGGCCCTGATGTCTAGCATAACACCCTGCAAATGTAGATGATTAATTAATATTTGTTGAATTAATTTAAAAGTGAACTGTGGGAAAATAGGTTCGGTGATAGAGCATGTATAAATTCCCAGAGCATATTAAATTTCCAGAGAAGGAGAATAGAGTCAGAAATGAAAGACCTGAGACTTAGGGAAAGACTATTTGTGTAGCCATCAGAAAAGTGCTTCAACAAGGACCAGGGTAAGCTATACAGATACCTTGGCAGCTGTAGAGTGAAGGTTGGCTATTATCTGGCTAGAAGGGTGATCTGAAGACCAAGATTTACACCCAGGAATACAAATCAGAACTCGATTATATGAATCCTGTCTCTCACCAGACCCAAAGGTAGTACCGTCTTGCACCTGCTTGGAACTATGTGCTAGAATATCTTTCAGACATCCAGGCTAGTACAGAAAAATTTATAATATGTTAGCCTTTCTTGCATGTAACTCCATCAATCAATCATTCCTTTGTCTGCTTCCATTGCTTGGTTTTTATTTACTTTAATTTTTAATAAATTTGTCATTTAAAACCTTCAAGTTGCCTATAAATTATTGAGGAGAGAAATAGATTTTAATTCCTTAATAATAATCTATTTAAACCAAGGCAGTTTCTTCACAGATGAGCAGAAATATTGTTGTGCAAAGACTACCATATAGATTTGATAAGTTTATAACCTATTATCTATGAGGCTTATGCATTCTAAACATACATTTAAAAAACATTGTAAATGCAGATAGATATAGATACATACATATTTAGCTCCATGGGCCAAAAGAACTACCATAAATAAACTGTCTATAACCAACTAGTCACTGTGGCTAAGGACTCACATAATTTCCATAACAATCCTTCCTGAATTCTGTATTAATGTCTACATTAGGTAGGTACAGCAATCAAATCTTGGAAACATTAAATTGTTGATTGAAAGTCTTACAGCCAAACTAAAGATGGGATTAAACTTTGGGGCTAACAGCAGAGTCCTATTCATTCTTTGACACCATGACGTAGTGTCATATAATTTAATTTTCAGTTATCTATAGTTTCTGGTGCAATTTTCTTCAGTCCTGTCCAGTTCTGTGTGTGGCATTGTGTATGTGCAGTTTCCTCAGTTTGTCCCTTATCTTGCTGTATATGGAAGCATTTATGGGATCCACTTTTGAAACAGCCTCTGAATTGAAATACAATGTATCTAGTCAACCTGAGCGTCCACAGGCCTTTAATGTGACAAGGGCAGTTTATTCTCACAGTCTCTAATATAGTCATTTGACAAATGTATATTCAGTGCTTGCTGTTTATCTGGATTTGTTCTATGTACTAGGAAGACTAAGATGAATATGGCATGGTTCCTGCTTTTAAGAAACATACAGACTGTTAAGAGGGCTACGTTAGAAATAATTACTACACAGATTAAGGACATGCCGCAGTAGAGGGAAGAGAAAAGGCCATTGGATGTACAAAAAAGGGAGAGTTTAATTTTGCCTAGTTATTATAAAGCCATAGGAAAACTAGGGCAGGCTTCACAAAGGATGTGATTTTGGATCTATGTATTGAAGGAATCGTAGGAATTAACAGGTGGAAAGAGGATGGGGTTCATTCCAAACAGAAAGATCCACATCATGGAGGTTGCAAGGGTGCTGCAAATGGTTCGTTATGGCTATAGCGACTATAAAGTAAAGAAGTTGAAGAAGCAGCTGAAGACAAGAGATCCTCTGAGGTCTGATTTTAAAGGACCTTATACCCTAGGGGTTAGTATTTTTAAATTAGGAGAGTGATGTGGTCAGATATGAATTTCAAAATGATTACCCTGCCAACAACATGGAAAATAGATTTTAAAAACTGAAAACAGAATACTAGTTAAGAGGCCACAGATCTAATCTAGGTGAGAAACATTGAGAGCTTCCACTAAGTAAGTGATATAGAAATTGAAAAGATGGACCTATTTTATAGACATTTAGGAGAATTCCTTGCTTTACAAGGTGTTTGAATTGAAGTATCTGTAATAATTGGTTGGTTCCATTAAGTGAGAGAAAAAGTATGGTAAATGGAGCAGAGTTTAGTTGGGAATTAGATGAGTTTGGTTTAGGTATGTTATTGAGTTTGAGGACACTCAGGAAATCACAAATTAATACTGAACCAGTCTGTCAGTGCAAAGATTTTTCATTCATCTGTATTTTGCAGCCCCGATGTGAAAAAAAAAAAAAGTAAAAAAGTACAGGGAGATTTTAGAAATGATTTAGAGTTGATGAACAGCAAATAGATTAGTTGACTGAGATTTTTGATAAAAGAAAAATGTAAATGATTCACTAGGGCTAGTAAAAAATGAAAAAAAAAGATGAAGAACTGATAGATGGACAGAAAATGCGCAGTTCAAGAAATTAGAGGTTCCAGGATTTCAGAAAAGATAAAGGAATGAAGGAGCTGAAATAGCGTAAAGATTTTACAGGCAGCACTAATTCTGAGTCATGTGGTAGTCTACAGATTCGGGTTATATGAATGGGTTGCTGAAGTGATTTGGGGATAAATGTTCTACAGGGGAGGGGATAAAAAAGACTGAGAAGCTAGAAAATTGGATAGGTTATCTCCATGTGTTGGAATTGCTGAATACCATTTCATGAGTTAGGTTGGAGAAGTAGACTATACGCCAAGAGCTAATTTTCTCTATGAATGTAAAATGACCTGGAGGTCAGTTGAAGAAATGATGAAAGGATGGAGTAGAGGGTGTTACAGCAAAATAATATTGGTCTCAGGAAGGAAAGACTTTTTCAAGAGTGAGTTAATTCTATTTTGAACTTTGAAGTAAGATGCCAGGAACATACCTGGAGTCTGATCTTAGTAATCCCTGCATCTGATTTTGGTAATTGTTAACCATGATAAACCTACTGTATGTGCTTATGACTAGACAATGGCCATCAATGAATGAGACGTGGAAACCCCCTCTATGTCCTACAGAATATGGCATGTTTTATGATAAAAGTTCTTTGAAAAGTTCATGCCAAGGAAACAATTAATTATGACTGTGAAAAGAAATCAGGAAATCTTCTACAGAAGAGAAAATATTGGACCAGTACTTGAAAAGTGCATATGATTTTGGCTGGAGAAAAAGAAATAAATGAATGGAGAAATATGTTCTGGAAAAGTGAATATGTTAAGGCTAAAGAGAAAAGAAGATGAGGGTAGAAATATTTTATTCTGTAAAAAATAAAATGAGGTTTTGAAAGTTTATTTTGTTTTGTTTCTTAGCGGGGTAGTGGTATGGATAGTGGAAGGCATTTTAGTTAAAACTCATGAGATGCTGAGCTTTGTGCTAATTTATGTTAATATACTGCAGCCTTATTAAGTATTTCACTTACTTATTTTTCTTGATAATGTAATTTGTGCAAAGGTAACAGTAATAATTTGAAGAAGGAGGTGCCATTTTTAGGAATGATCAGAAATGTACTTTTAAATTATCTATATGCCTATAAATCACCACTGCCAAGTTCTAGAAAATTCTAAGGTAAAAGCAAAGACTGGAAGATAAAAATGCAATTTTGAATTAATTTGAAGTGTAGCCAGTCATCAGTTTTTAAAACAATATTCTCTTTGTTATCAAGGTGACAAGTTTTTAAAATTCTGAAAAAACGAAATTCAGTTTAAATTTTAATTCTCTGGGTGTCAAGTAGCAAGATGGAACAAGGTTATGATTCTTGTGTTTGCTCATTAATACCATTTTATGACAATGATGATATTTCTGCATACATTTGAAATGTGTTAATGACATGTAGTTAAAGGAGAGGACATTGGTTGACAAGTTGAACCTCAGTCACTAGGGACCATGGATGGAAACTGAAGTAACTTTGGGAGGTATATACAATATTTATTTGTTTCAGTTCTTGGTGCAGAACAGAACGTTCTGAACAAAGAACTAATGCAAATGTACCCTTTCTGGCTCCAACTGAAGCAATGTGATGCCTTGCAATTGGAATTTTGAGACATGGAAAACTGGGTCAGATTTTCTTTCTGCTTCAGGCTACATTTTTTTTAAAACCCTATAATAATTAATTTTAAAGATTTCCCATTTGCTTCATGTTAAAACTATGTCCTTCAACACGTTTAACAGTGAATTTTAGCTACATAATTTTATTTGAAATTTTTTAGGCTATCAAATGCATGATGATTGGACTGACTGTTAACTTTGTATAGATTGAGTCTACTCTCTTCAAAAGAAATGCAGCATTTTCTGACCAGTGAGATAAGATAAGCAGAAGTTGTTTTATATTCAGAGTACTATTTTTTTAATATGGTAAAGAAATAGAAACATGAAATGTTTTTTCCAAGCTAAGGTAACAAAATGACCTTACGGTCAGTGTTTGGATGTGAAAGAGGAATAGAAGATTGATGTTTTGATGGATAATAATTGACTGTTAGCTGTTCTCACTCTTCTAAAGGCAAGGATGAATTTGCACTGATGCTTCCTTGCTGTCACTCTAAATAATATATCTCTGTGGCTCAAGCTGTTATCAGTAATTGTAAGTAGGTATTTTTGTGACAGTCAGTCCTCTGGAGCCTACATGATGAATCCATCCTTGGCCTCTCCAAACCTCCCTGGCTGATGTGCTTGAGGTTTGCAATTGTGTACTCCCTACCCCTCAGGGAGAAATCTGCACATCTTCCTGGTACTGTTTTTATGGGGAACTCTCAGAGTAAGACATATTTTTGGCCCTGATTAAGCACTTGGGCTCTAGACTCAGACTGCTAGTAACTACTTACTAGGTATACAATTGGGCAGGTTACTTAAGCTCTCTGCACCGTGTTCCTTCACTGACCATAAGAATACTGAACAGACAGTAACCCCCCTCACAGGGATATTATCAAATTGAATGTGTAGTCATATGATGCCATCAATACAGTGCTAATAAATGCTCAATAATTTCTTCTTATTGTACTTCTGTTGATGGTTTGGGGAATTCATTTAACTACCCTAGTCAACCTCCTTATTTCTAAAACACTTAAACATAATATTTTTAAAGGATTCTGAGATTTGTGAAACTAACTTACTAAGAATTGACAGTGTGAGCTTTATTTAGTAGGAAAATAGGCTGTGAAATGTGTTAGAACTGATTCGATCATGAGTATGCCATTTACTAGTGTTTTTCTGTGGGTAATTTGTCTTTACTCCCTTGTCTTTTTTCTCATTTTTAAGAAAAGGTGAGAATAATAGTAGTGCCCACATCATTGAGTTTTGAAAGAATTATATGAAAGAGTTTATGTACAACACTTCATTTAGTGACTAAATTCAAGAAATAATAACTATTGTTATTATTTTCAAATTTTTCATACAAATATTGCCTTTATGAAGTTGTCTTTGCCCATCTATAAAGACAATAGGTGGCTGGGCACGGTGGCTCACGCCTGTAATCCCAGCACTTTGGAAGGCTGAAGAGGGTGGATCACGAGGTCAAGAGATCGAGACCATCCTGGCTAACATGGTGAAACCCCATCTGTACTAAAAATACAAAAAATTAGCCGGGTATGGTGGCACATGCCTGTAGTCCCAACTACTCAGGAGGCTGAGGCAGGAGAATCGCTTGAACCCAGGAGGTGGAGGTTGCAATGAGCCGAGATTGCACCACTGCACTCCAGCCTGGGTGACAGAGTGAGACACTGTCTCAAAAAAAAAAAAAAAAAAAAAAAAAGGTATTACTACATAAGCCATGATTTTCCATACCTAAGAACTTAAATAATTGGGTTAACCCATTATGCCTGAGGTTGGAATTTTGTGAATTTTTGCAATCAGACCTTGGCGATGACCTTGAGCAGTAGGATATAAATAACTCCCACATGCTTAGTGTTCCAATAATGGAACACCAGGCATAAATGGGTCAAGTCTTTTAAATTGTTACCTGAGGTGTCAATGAATTATATACTAGCAAATCATGGATGTTGAAACCTGAGGTTCATATCAAATTTAGATATCTCTTTAGTTGAAGAAAGCCACCAAAGCTATTGTAATGTAAGGAGTTTACTCCAGCATGAGAGACTATTTAGAGATTTTTATTAAATTGTCATGTAAGTTGCTGGTTTTGCAACTGTTAAAAGTTATTAAAACCGTGCTTTTCATCATAGGACATTCTGTATACAGCGTGCATTTTTGTGGTTAGTTTTAAAAAATAAATTTAAATATTTCTTTCTCCCATTTAGTATTAAAATGCAGCTGGCATGTATTTATAAATGATGTATAAGAATCTATTTTTTGCTCCTTATAAAATACAGAGATCTAATTTGATTTGCTTTGCTTTCATTTTTATCCCGTTGTTGTCTCAGTGGAAGAAACTATCATTCCTACACATTTCAAGTCCTCCTTCCTTCCTCTTCCTCTTCCCCCCATGGCATAAATACTGCTTCATGCACTGTGTGTTTGAAAACACTGCTTTTAGTGAGTGCTGGTATTATCTTTCTGGGAAATAGAGTTGAAATTCCCCCAGATCCCACTAAGCTCTCCTCAGCCTGTCACTACTGAGGATATGGAACTGACTACATATTGGGGGATCTCCAAGTGACAGAACAACAACTATTGCTGAGATGTGTAAATTAGAGAAAAGACTGGATTTGAGGTAGTAACTCAAAATATGGTTTTTTTACCCTCTTTCTCTCATTCCCTATTCCCATGGTAATCAAAAACATCTAATTACTTAATTTCAAGTTAAGCATTTACTGTGAGAAAATTATTTATTCTTACTTTACTTCAGAACCCATCCACATAATTAAAACACAAGTAATTCCTTTCACTTAGTTGATACGATCAAATAAGATAATGTATATGAAACAGATGATAAACTGTGAAGTGTGGAAGGGTGGGTCAGGTATAGTGCTTCGTGCTTTGCATATGTTTTCAAATGTAAACATCATTTCAACCCAAACAGATGCATATTGTCACCATTTTGCAGATAAAAAAACAGAGGGTGAGGCCAAGTCACATGCTGGGAAATGGCTGTTGGACTTGATTTTAGCACAGATCCAGCTGATTCCAAAGCCAAAGCTATCTTTAATCACAGTAAACAAATCATATATCATTATATGATTATGATTTACATAGTAAACAATTTACACAGTAAACTGTGTAAACAGTTCACAGTAAACAAAAGTATATTGTTATTATTACTTAATTGTATATAACAAGTGTACCTTATTTTATTTAGTATATTGAAATTCAAACATGCCAAAACAGAAAATAATTTGAAGTGATTATTAACTTTTCAAAAAAAATCATTTGCTTTTGAAGACACAGTAAGTTTTTTTAAATAGAACCCTTTTTTTAAATTCTAGTGTCATTAAAGATATGACTTGATTTTTAAAGACTTCACTTCTATATACCTTTCCAGCAGCATGTGTTTTAAACAGACTGATTTGCCTCTACAGTGCCTTTTTACTTTGAGCTCCATAAATAGATGAAACACATTTGTCAAGGATAAATATGAAGTTTAAAAGTCAGAACTTAAGTAGTGTGCATATCTTTATGATACTATGAGGCTGAAGTGTACCTGGGTAATAGACGTAAAAGATGTCCATTGCTCTAATTTACTTATAGGCCATTAGCTTTCTACATATCTGGGCTTTGAAAAACTAGACCAAAGGAAAACATGCTTGTGATGTTCAAAGAACCCAATTTTTAAAATGTGTTGAAGTGGTCCCACTACATCTCTAAGCTCATGTGACGTCCAATTTACATCATATTGGAAATGTCAGTCACTGAATCAGGTTATTGTTCACTTTTTTTGTTTGTGTTCAAATTACATATTGAGAATTTACATGAAGTGTTTCATGATGAAAATATTTGAAGCTTGAAAGTTGTACTTTAGTTGAATTAACTGTATATTCATCCCAATTTAATATTTTCCTGACCTTAGCAGTTAAAATTATAACTAAGCTATTTTAAAAATTAATACATAACAGTGGAGTGTTATTACAAAAGCCTTTAAAGGTAAATAATCCTTGCTCTACTTCTGATAATTCATAAATTATTGTTTTTAATAGAGTTCTTTTGCATGTAGATAATATATTATTTCGTACTGATAGATTTTAATGTGTGCCACCAGTTGAATCCTCTATGCCCGGTATGGCACCAGATGATTCTTAGCATTATGTTAAGCCCTCCTTATTAGACCATTTAATGGCCTTTGTCTTTAATAATGGAAACTCATTTAATAATGCATGGTTTGTGTTACGTTAACAATAATTACAGGATGCCGAGTAGTTGCTCCAGTTGAAAATCAATTTAAATAAGTTGCTCCCAATATTACAATAGACACAAAATGAAACTTATTGGTCATTAGTAATTATGAGACAAAATCATTAGAAGCCCTGTGGACAAGAAAAGAACAGATTCAAATCATTCTTTATGTATGGTTAAGACATATTCCCAGGTTTTATGAGCTATGAGGGTTGAGGTTACTAGTATCTTATGAAAATTAAGAGCTAAACGTGTTTTAAATGCATCAATAATTTGAACTGTCCTAAACACTGTTATAAAAATGCTCCCATGATTCCTACTTAAACAATATTGCTGGGTGATTTTCGAGGCCTTAAGTTAATAGTTACCACTGTTGTACCTCAGCCCCTGCATAGAACAAGGGCTGCCAGGCAGTCATCAAATCCCAGGAAAAGAGGTTATTAAAGTTCAGTTATCAGAGATAGGCTGGAAGTCAATGATTTAAGATGGTGAGCTCTAAGTTGTTAGGGCGGAAAGATAGCTATGTCATGTAAGGACTCAAATCCAGGAAGTTTGGTAAATGATCCCAAGAGTACCAAGATTGGGTGATCCAGTGTGACTCTGAAGCATGTGCTGGGGCTTTTTGTATGTGCTGTGTCAAAAAGGTAAGCACAATGAGAGGGTTGAATGTGAATATGGAGATATCATTTACTATTCTTCAACATCAGATGTCCTCTTACAATTAAAATAAAATTAATACTTCTTTCACTTGATTGAGAAGATTAAAACCTGAATTTATGATGTGGGAGTACGTGGACTATATCAAGCTACAAGAAGGGTAAAGGGAAGAGGGAGAAGAAAAGGCATGGCAGAGTCTAGCAATCATTAACCATGCTCATTTGGGAAGGTGGCTAACAACTATTTTTAAATTTTAAAACATTTTAAAGGAAATACATTGAGTTAAAACCCAAGGCAAGAACTTGTTATTTTGGTCACAGTACACAATTGATTTTTCATAGCATAATCTCAGCAATATTGAGATAACTGTGAAAGTGGAGACATTTTAGCTTATTCTTCAGTTGTTGAATTCAGAGTTCTCTTAATATTGTACTAAGATGAGAAAGCAAACGCAAAGCGCTTGACTAAAAAAAAAAAAAATCAAAACAGAAACAAAATAAAATTACCCCAACTGTTTAATAAGTAAAAATTTCTTTTACTTCCTCTCTTTTTTTCATTTTCAAAAGGGGGTTTTAACTTCATTTTGATTTTATTATACTTCTCCTTAAATTAGAATTACTGTATCAAAGTTTTTGAATTCTGGGACTGACTCTAATGGGAAGAAAATAAGGGAAATGATGTTTCCTGGTGATCTAATCAAACTTTGCTCTCTGAGGATTTTTAAGGGTGGTTAATTTTATTGTCATTACTATGTAAATGTTTCCCAGCTTCTAATCATAGGCATGCTATTGCTTATCCATGCTTCCCCCAGCCATATAGACAAGATCCATAACCTACTCCAACATCCTGTGTATAAATAGACACTCATGGCTGGGTGCAGTGGCTCACACCTATAATCCCAGCACTTTGGGAGGCCGAGGCAGGCAGATCACGAGGTTAGGAGTTCAAGACCAGCCTGGCCAACATGGTGAAACCCCATCTCTACTAAAAATACAAAAATTAGCGGGGTGTGGTGGCAGGCGCCTGTAATTCCAGCTACTCAGGAGGCTGAGGCAGGAGAATTGCTTGAACCCGGCAGGTGGAGATTGCAGTGAGCCGAGATCACGCCATTGCACTCCAGCCCAGGTGACAGAGCAAGACTCCGTCCCAAAGACAAAAAAAAAAAAGATACTTGTGAACCTCTTTTGAAATCTGAATTGTGTGTGGTATGGGAACAAGTATCCAGGAGGAGTGGTTACTGTGGGTTGGAAAGTGTGTAGCACTGGGACAGTAGTAGTCTGCATGTTGGGTTTTGCTGTGCTTGTAAAGAAACTCCAAATGGAATCCACGATCAGGTTGTTTACCTTAAATTCTGGACTTAACCCTATGTTTGTAGAACCGAGTTGGATTCTCCTGTAACAGTGGTTCTCAATAAAATAGACTCAGTAACTCCTTTGTGTAAAATCTTTTATAATGCACATTTTACTAAAATGAAGCTAATGGATAATATTCTCTACCCACACATGTGATTTTTAAAAGTAATTTTAAAATGATATAGACCTTATTATGTACATGCGTGGGTATGGCTTCACTAGAAGATGGATAAAATAGTCAGATGCTTATGCCTATACATAGAATCACTAAATAGCTAAAAGGCAGACAGATACAGGTGTGCTTTGTTGGGGACTCAAATAGTAGGAGCAGCCCTGCTGTCAGTCACCTGATTTTCCTAAATGGTAACTTACTCTTGATACAATTGTGAAAAATAAAATAAAAATGTCTCTGGACTTATAAAACAGTTGTATTTTGGGAGAATTTATATTTATACTAAAAAGTGAGAAAAATAAAATGTTTAAATATTGATATGTGAAAAGGAGTTGTCGATGTCATCAGCTCAGATAACTATACATATTTATTTCACTTATATATGTATGTCCAGCAAGGTCTTTGAAAGTTGTGTCAGATGTAGGATAATTCTTCACTCTACAGGAATGTTTCTTGAATGCAGAACAGCTAGCAAGTATTTCCAGACAATCAATGAAAGAGCCTCCCAAATTAAAAAGTGAACAAAAGACATTCTAAGGAACACAGCCACTGTAGGCAAGAACTGTTGCTCTGTACTAGAATACCACGTTTTAAAATCTCAGTTAATTTCAGGAAATACTAGTTCTCTAAGAAAGGTCTAAAATTAAACAGAATGGTCAGAAGGTAATAATAAGGCATACTAGTGTTTCAAATGCCTGATATAATGGACATTCTGCAGTTCATACACAAAATTGTATGTATTCAGTTGAGTTGTAGACCTAGACTATGTCTGATGATGAGATACTGCTGGTCATGTGCCTTTTCAAAGGCATTTTTTCAAATATTTAATGCTACTGCATGTTCTTCCTACTTGTGAGTCGTATGACATGGTGTATGTGAACATGCTTTGTAAACCGTTAAGCCAATTGTGAGTGTTATCAATTCTATTATGGAGATTTTCTTAAATAGTGACACAAGGATTTGCTAATGGCTCCTGAGGATGCAATGGAATCCTCTTATTTCATTTGCTGTCCTAAGGGAAGTAAGTTTCAGTAAGCTTACACAAAGTTAATGAGTCATTAGGCTTTGAGTTTTGGCCTCCTAAAACAATGCTGTTTTTCTTAGGACTTTGTATTCCTCTGAGTGCTGTGTGCTTGGGCAGTGGAGAGCGACTAAAAAGGTCATTCACATTTTCTTTTTAATCATAGCAATACACTGGAATCAAATAATATAGCCATTGAGAGAGCCCTGTTACTGTCTCAGTCATTAAAATAAAGCTGTTTATCAAACACTAAACACATGGCAGACACTACGTTATTAAAGATACCACAGGCAAGTCACGTGGTCTCTTACTTCAACTGGATGTATAAGAAAACTAATCTTGCTTTCTCCTATTGGATAAAAATTAACTGAGCATCCCAATATGTTTTCAAGCTTAGGTATAATATGATAAAATAGTTCTTGTAGTCAGCATTCAAAATTAGTCTTCAAAATGTCATGGACAAAATTGCTAATTTCTAAAAAAATACCTCCTCCAATTTTCTTTTCTTTCATTAAAATGGTGCCAAGGAGTATTGGGGAAGGGAGTTACATATGAGACTGTCAAAAAGTTGGGTTTTTCTGTTTTGGCATCCTGTTGTCACATTTAGTGTCTGCATTTAGTCACCTTCCATTTGGGTGTACTAATAATTTATGGCTAACATCTGCCGCTAATGTCATTTATGTCCTACTCTGGTAGACCCAGATCTGCTCTTACTGGCTGCCTTGGTCCCATTTGGCTCCATAAAAGTCAGACCTTCCTTTATGTCCTGAGTCACCTCCAGCCTCTAAAGTATTCCTCTAGATTATGCTGGTGGACTGTACTACTGCCCTGCTTGTTCTCAACTCAATATCCTGGACATGTGGGACTGTGCTTGCAGCATGGCGAAATCAAACCCAACATCACCCCCTCTGACTACTTTTGCTTCTAAGGGTATGAGATTGCTCTTGTCACAAGACTGTGTGAGGTATCTTGTAAGGAGGCTTCCCCTGGGAAGTTACAGAGACTTGGGTAATGGAGGAGGCAGCCCCAATCTGCTTGTAGAGTTCCTCTGACTTCCCTAATGCCCCTCCCTATCTGCTGGACAAATCTGAACACACCCCTGCTGAAATGGCTCTTCAACTTTTCTTTCCACCTCCCAAAATTCTCTGAGATCAGAAAGAGAAAATGGCATTTGACCCCACAGTCTTTTCCTGTAGGCACTATTAAATCTGACCTTTGTTACCCTAAAGAAGGAGCCAAAGGAATTTTGACAAGATTCCTCAAGATAATGGCCTGGTTTGCAAGGCTCCCATGCGCTGCAAAATCATATTTTGTGTATTACAAGCTGAATTTTATCTTGAATTATTTTTCATTCTATCTGTAACGAATCCAGATCCTCCCACTCTACCTTGCCCCATTCAATTAGGTACCTTGGATGAACTACAATAAAAATCCTGTTCTCAAAAATGCAAAGAAGGAAAGCACTTCAGTAATTTTCAAAATAAACTAGAAATAGGGGATGCAATAGTGGAGAGGATAGACATGATCCCTTACTTCTATGGAGCCCATGTTCTATTCATGAGGAATGGGGGTCAGATAAATAAAAAAATAAGTGGGGGATTAGTGTTATGAAAAAAGTAAACATAACATTAAGGTAACGAATATAGGGAAGTTTGAAGAGATTGAGTGATTCTAGTCTTTTGTTTATATTTGAAGAAACTGAGACTTAGAATTTTCCGAATATTAATCATTTACTTACTGACAGTCAAAAGTGGTAGCAGGACTCCAGAATCCTTACTGAGTGAGCCCATTTTATAGGCGACACTTAAAAAAGAAAATGAACTAATGGTCTTGGCGTGGATTCAGGTTAGAACGGCTTGTATTAAATATTGTGCTAAAACATTTTTTAAAAGTCTCTACTCAAGTGAAGAGGACTGCTGACCACAACATCATGACTTACATATTCTATACCTTTAAACTTTTTGTTTCTCATTCCTAGGATGCCATTTACTCTCACTTCTAGGCATTATAATTTTTATTCCTGCCTAGACACCTCCTTATTTATGATTCCAACTATAATGACCACATCTAGAAATAAGCTGTCAGCTCTTGCTATTACCTTCTGTGGCATTTTTCACATACTGCCTGAATTACTGTTTGGTTTCTCACTAAGTTGAAATCTTTTTGTGGGGCAAATAATATATACTATAAATATGTATAGTGCTTTGCTCACAGTTATCAGTAAATATTTGGTGAACAAATACATGAATTATGTAATGAAAGTCCATGATGTCAGATTCCGTAGAAGCTCTTAGTGTATGAATGATTCATGGACCTTGGTAATCTGTAATCAAGTTAATGAAGAACATAGTTTCTGCTTCCGTTTACAGCAGCACTGACTGCATATAAGAATAAATGCACAACGAGGCATAGATTTTTTAAAAAGATAAAAAGTGCAAGATACATAGATATGTGACTAATTATAGTTTGTATGGAGAGATCAGAGCCAAGTGTGGTTAGGGAAAGAAGCCAAAGGCAGAAAGACTTGAGTTTAAACCGTTTTTGGAGTACAGGATGAACAGGTTGTGGTGCCTTACGGAAAGTGCCTTAGGAGAAGCTGTAAAAATTGCAGAAGTTGTAGAAGGGTGAACACAGTTCTAGGTAGAATATATTAAGTTGATATACCTGACGAAATATTAACTGGGGATTCCGGGAGATGGAGGAGTGGAAGCTTTGAAGCTTGTGATTAGGAGTCTGAATTATATTCAAGGAATGATTGGTAGTCATTGTTGGCTTCTAAGAGGGGGAACTTGAAATAACATTTAGGGAATACTCCTACTCCTGTCCTTTGCTCATGCTGTTTTCCCATCTGGAAGATTTCCTTTTCTCCAAACCCCTCTTTAGCCCATTTCTTCAAGGCTTAATTCATATCCCTCTGTCTCTGAAGCTTTTCCAATGATTCAAGCCAATGCGTTCTCTCTCTCTTTCTGTCTCTCTGTTTCTCCATCCTCTGCATTTATTGCTTTTACTACAAAATTAATATCCTTCTGAATTCTCTCTTCTTAATTTATAATAGGCTCTTTAAAAGATTTTCTAAAATACAGTTTTGTTCAGTAGCTGCAGATTCTTATTTACATCATAAGGAAAATAAAATCTTTGAAGCCAGCGACTTTATATTATGTTTTTGTGTACTCCATTTAGCATTCATCTAGGTTCATGTGTGTTTAATACGTGTCTTAAAGTGGGATAACTTATAACCCAAATATCAACTCAGAGATAACGTTTAAGAGTTAGGAGAGACCTTAGAGGTCCTGCCTAGAGCTTGTGTTGAGATCATATATGAAGTCAGTACCAAGGGCTTGCATCACGTTTTTTTCTGTCAGTGGTGTTATCTAGTTGGATTCTATATGATACTGACTGTACTTGCTTCTAAATGTTACTGAACAGCTTCCAAAACCAAAGAAAATGAAACAACGGCAACAAATATTTTCTTTAAGTGAAATGTTTTTACTACTAAAGATTTTTGGAAAAAAAATATTGGCTTATGGGTGGTGACTGAGAATACACATTAAATTCCCATCTGTGGAAGGACTTTAGTCATTTGAAAGCTAAAAATTGACTGCACAATGCATCTCTTTATAAAAGAATACAAAATTAATTTTATTGCACTAAGGTACACGTGGTATCTTGAATGTTGTGGATTTAATAGGTCAGAAAATAATAGAAGATTTATTTTTCACGTAGCAGTTACCAGGAAATAAAATTCAATATACTAATTAAATCAAAATATAGCATCATTATAATTCTCTTTTCATTTACTTGTTAGACATAAGGCATTCTCAACTGGAAATCAATATTTTGTTAAGCCCACTAGTGTTTAAAAAGGAAATTGCTCTGTTATTAATTATTCTGCTGGTAGATGTTATGACATCGCTTACTTATGTAGTCACCGTCTCCTCAGATATAAAAGCAGTAAACTTTAAACCTTGTTTGGCAGTTATCACTTTTCTGTGTGAAGAAGTTTTTATTCAATTAAAAAGTCAGTGATCTATTCACATTTGTGGCATGAGGATTAACTGATAAGTGTCTCTATAGCCCTAAATGTTATGTGACCGCGATATAATAAAGCAAATAATCAGTTATGTCTTTGAACATAGAAAATACTATATAAATGCAAAATATGACTTTTTCAACTACATTTTTCTAAAGTACAGAGGTAAGATTGGACTTATCTAATACCTGCAGTGGGTGATGAAAATCCTTGGTAACATACTACTTTAGTGTTTATATTGAGTATTTTAGAAATGTGTTTGATAGCTACAATTTGGAAGTACGCAGAAGGCTACAGAACCCTGAAGGCAAAGGTGAGCTGCTTGAATTAATATGAACTAAAATGATAATACGTTATACTTAAAAGCTAACTTTTTTGCAATATACTTAGAAGTCTTTAGCTGCATTACCTCTAATCCTCAGAATACATCATGAGAATAGTCTCTGTGAACAGGGTTAAATGCATTGGAAAGAACACTGATGGAAATAAGGAGGGGTCACTTTCCCATTAACAGGTACTATATAGAGTCAAAAGCGCATGCCTGATGTCAGATAGAGCTGAGCACACAAACCATTTCTCCACCAGTGAGACGTTTCAATCATACCAAGTATCCTTGCTATTTTGCATGGTTCAAATTGGTGGCCTAAAGAGATTTGTTACTTGATTACCTCAAGAGTACACTACAAGTGAAGGTAAAAACTAGAGTTATAATAAGTTGGTTAAGGAATCTTTGTAAGGTAATTTTGTGGAAAAATAACAGAGCAAGTGATTCTGACATCTCAAAGCAGAATAAGATAAAATGCTGGGGATCTTCTGGTATTGAAGGAAGTGTTTTGATGTGCACCTTCTATAAAGTTAGTCCTTCATGTATTTCGGAACACCAGAATTTTTTTTTAATTGTGAAGTTAAAGGAGGGACTGAAATAAAATTTACTTACCAACTATGGAAAGCAAATACTATTATTGCAAATTCCTTCATGAATAGGGAGGTAGCATAAATATGTAACATGTGAGAGTAGAAAACAATGGAGAATAATGGAGCATGTGTGAAAAAGCTAAAACTTTACCAATACCTTCAAACATAAGAAGTTACTTAAAGTATTAATAGAGTATTTATAAATTAAAATTATCTATTCATTGAAGAGAATTTTCTTTACTAAGTATCACACTTGACAACCTGCTTATATTCTTCTTGTATTAGAATTTTAACTTATATTGGCATTCACTCTCCTAAATTTAGTAGCATGAATTAGAGATGTTTTTATTCTAATATTGGCTATACAGCAGACTAACAAATAGATAATGTTTGGGAGAATGGTGCAGAAAATAATGAACAAAAAAACAGGAAATGGTGTTCAGAAGAATGAAAAATAAAAAAGAAGGTTAATTTTCTTTAAAAGGTAACAATGTAAGTTTTTTGTGTTATTTTGGGTCGCTGAAGTATCCAGAACTAACATTTTTGGAGAAAGTTGAGGATAGTGAATTGGAAAATAATATTAAGGTGTTTATAAACTATTAATACACAGATATTAGTTTAATTCATGCTACAAATTAAAATTTTAGGGAAAGTATAAAATAACACATTTAAGGACAATACACTGCTGAGAATAGGAAGAAATAAAAGGAAAGTATAAGAAAATAATAGGAAGAAAACAGTCCTTAAAAAGTATGAGAACCCAGAGGAAACTGAATCCCAAAGTATCAACAAAGAGAGAGCAATGAGACCGACCAGCTCTGTTAGTGATTTTGTATGATTTATATTGCTTGTTGCTGGTCAAAGTTGTGAAACTCTGTTTTTTTCTCTCTCTCTTTGTCTTCTGAAATAAATAAGGTCAATTTTGAATTATATTTCTTCTGTATGTTTAAGTCAGTGATGCACTCTGAGCAGTCTGGAACAAGATATGACAAGATGAGCACAAATAAAACATTATGTAATGTAGAGGTGCAAAACTAACTGAAAATTGTTTGGACACTTGAGGGCCAAGTGCGGTGTTGAAAGCTTGTGAACAATGATAAAGGCCCATTTAATGTTTCATTATGTTTGGTTCATTGGGACCTACTGACGTGTACATTATCTAGGATTTCAAATATATTGAGGTACAAACTGATTCAACAGAACACATTTTTCTCTCATATTGCCTTGTGTGATAAAAAGAAGCAAAACTGAATAAGATTTTGTTTGTTTGTCAGAATGTACAGTAGGGTAAATGAAACATGTTTTTGTGCATAGCTCCTCATATCCAGAATGAAAACTTGTCATTTTTTCATAGGTACCATTGAAAATATTACTTACCTGGTAGATTCCAGCCTTCATTGTAAATTGAAATATGAGATTATAAGCCTAGGGCTTACAGCACTTCTATGCAATGGTCCTGATTGGAATATTACTCACATGTGCAATTTTGTGTTGCCTTTTATTGACTGTGACAAGACACATGACATGCAGCATGTGCACAACCACAGCAAACAATATTAGCAGAAAATGAATTTCAAAGAGGGAGAAGAAAAATATGGCCCACTACCAGCCCTCCACTGAAGTGTGGACACATAGTTGAGGTGTGAGTAACTTTCAGATTTCATTAATAAATTCTGCATTTATCTTTATTTGCTTTGACTTTTCCAGTAATTGTATTGAGACTTTCAGTATCTGAGGCTTTTCCAGAGACTTTTAGCTATATATGTTGAGCCTGACAGTCAAAGGCTTCCAGCTGGGTGTTAAAATTAGTCATTTTTTTAAAAATCCCATATTTTATGGCCTAAATAAAGTTGCTAATAAATACTTCATTTAAAAAAAATACTTTTTCAAGAGAAAAAGAGAAGAATAGCTACCTTCAGTGTCCAGAAGTACTTTGAAGACATGATTCTGTACTGTTAAATATTCTAACAACCAAACATTATTAATACAGTCAGTCCCCATGTTTCAAAGTAGTTGTCTTCTAAAATCCATTTGTTAATAGGTAGCTTGAAAATAAAAAACAAAACATTTTTATGTAGGAAAAGATAATTAGGTTTCCAGACTGATCCACAAAATTCTCCTCAAAGAATAGTGCATCCACAAGGATATATATGTTCATACTTAGGATTTTTTTTTCAATCCATTTATTCTGAGTCATTAATAAAATTTTATTTATAAAACTAGACCATATATTCAAATTTTTTATCTTACTATTTTTCAGTGCCTCTTACACTATACTAGCATGCTAACTATTAAATATTTTGTTTCTATTTTGTTTTTGTTTTTAAACATCTTATACTTTAAAAATCTTATACTGTGGACTTATAAAAGTCCACAGCTTTTTGCCAAACCAGTAATGTAAGAAGCATATCCACAAGCATAACTCAACCTTATTACGATCACTTCTTGAAATAAAACTTTGCACAATTTAGTTTTTCTATCTATAAAGTGTGAAGAATAATACTCATATCATGGAATGTCTGTGAACATTAGAGAAAGTTTGTGAAGTGCCTGGCACTGTGCCCAGCATATATTGGTGCTATCATGGCTCACTGCAGCCTCGACCTCCTGGGCTTAAGCAGATCCTCCAATGTCAGCCTCCTGAGTAGCTGAGACTACAGGTGTGAGCCACCATGTCTGGCTAATTTTTGTATTTTTTGTAGAGACAGGGTTTCACCATGTTTCCCCGGCTTGTCTTTAACTCCTGAGCTCAAGCAACTCTCCCACCTTTGCCTCTCAAAGTGTGAAGATTACAAGTGTGAACCACTGAGCCTGGCCTTATTTATAATTCTTTATGGTACCTGTGAAGAAACTAAGTTCCAACTAAGTTGACTAAAAATGGAAATCTATTAGAATATACAATTCAAGAAAAGAGTGAACAATATAAATGTGTGACAGGAGGATTTTGCCCTCCGAAGGTTTAAATACTGACAACATTCTCTTTTGATTTTTATTTCTGCTTGTCTTGGCTTCTTGACTCCAATGTCTACCTTAGCACTCTAACTTCTCCTTGTAGCATAGTGGGAAAATGGCTATGTTTTAGATCCCTAGTTTTATGTTTTATAGGTATAGCTACCAAGAGACTTTTTTTTCTCAGCTCCAGTTTTCTAAACCTTGAAAAGGGACTATGAGTGGCCCTCTTGTTGAATCAAGAGATCCAGCCCATTGCTGAGCCAATCATCTGTGGCCCAATAATGAAATCATTCTGAACATTGAAGAGTTATATGGTAAGCATCGTTGAGGAAGGAGTAGACTAAAATTTCTAGAAAATGGAAGAGAGCACTGGGAAGACAACTCTGTTTACTTCATACTTCTTTTCTCTCCTTCACCTTCCTTTTCTTTCTTTTCTCTAAGAAGAATATGGTCATTGACAATTGAAAGAACATTAGTCGGGCTTGTTTTTGTTTGTTTCTTATGAGTTTTAACCACATAAAAATGTTGCCCTACATATACAAGAAAGTGTAAATTTCTATGAACTAGCCACACTTTTTCATAATTACATCACAGTCTTTTGTATTCACCTACAAGGTGTTCTGCAGACATTATGGAGTAAACACCTAAACAGAGTAGTATGTTTCATAGAAGTATATTGCTACAGTAGATTCAGATTTTTATGAAGAAAAAATTTATGACTCTTCTGAAAATGGGCAGTCTGATAGAGCCATAGAGCAAGCCAGAGAGTAATAATAGCTATTACCTATTATTAACAATGCTATCCTTCTCATCATTTTAAAAATATGATCAGAAGTAGTATTGCCACATTAGCTTTGATCCTAGTGAAAGTTAAATGTTTCTTTCCAGTTTTTATGCTGCCTTCTACTCACTAACATATAGATACATGTTTTAATTACAGGCACATTGCATAGATACTCATAAAACAACCTGATGAGTTAATATGACAGCATGTCAGAAGGATATGCTTGGGAGTGTGTCAAAGCAGGACTCAAGTTTATTTATTTATTTATTTATTTTTTACATATTTTCCAAGCTGTGTTTCCTTAGGCAATCTGCCCTACCTTTACCTTTCTAAGTCTCAGTTTCTACATCTGTTTATAAAGAAAATGGATACAATAAGCACATTAGTGGCCAGTTTTATTTTTCATTGTCTGATTTTGTGAAAGGATTTTTAAAAACATTAAGAGAGGGACATACAAATTTCTATATTGTTTGCTAGAGTGACAGGGACAGAGAGAAAGATTTTCTTTTTTTTTTAGACTGAGTTTCGCTCTTGTTGCCCAGGCTGGAGTGCAATGGTGCGATCTCAGCTCACCGCAACCTCTGCCTCCCGGGTTCAAGTGATTCTCCTGCCTCAGCCTCCTGAGTAGCTGGGATTACAAGCATGCACCACCAAGCCCGGCTAATTTTGTATTGTTTTTTGTAGAGATGGGGTGTCTCTGTGTTGGTCAGGCTGGTCTCGAACTCCTGACCTCAGGTGATCCACCCGCCTCGGCCTCCCAAAGTACTGGGATTACAGGCGTGAGCCACTGCATCTGGCCGAGAGAAAGATTTTCAATCTAATATTATTTTTATTACTATTCCCCTTTATAGGTCAGACCCTCTCTGTGATTAGAGGGTAAATGTGCACTTTTTAGTAATACATTAATTTTTTTAGATTATTGGGGCCATTTTGTAAATGTTTTTTCCATTGCAGTGGATGGTAACCAGTGGCCTAAACGCATAAGGACAAAGCTTAAAAAATGAAAAAAAAAAAAAACAAACTTATTTATATATGCTTTATTTCAAGATAGCTTAAAAACTTTTTCCCATGTTCTAGTTCATTAGGATCATAAATCCTTAGGAAAATCACTGTTCTGTTGCAGAAGATGTTGTTCACTGATTTGTGAAGGTTTGTAGTTTATTTATTCTGCAACTATTAGACACTCAATAAATGAATTTGATGATAATGCTTATGGTATTTTTTCCAAGAATTAGAAATCCAGGAAAGAAGGGCATCACGTTGCAATACTGAATTATCAAATCGAAGATTTTTTTTATGCCATATGAAAACAGAATCAGCACTCAGGTAGTCTTCTTTCAAATACCCATTCTTTCACTGATGAGAGATAACAGACCACCTAAACCATTTCATTAAATGGCTTCTGGTCGTCTGATGCATTTATGCGCCTTCTACTAGTGGAACAACCGTATTCCCTTTTGATGCATAAGACTTTACCCACTAGTGGCAAAATGCTTTAAAATGATAGAGTACATTGGCCATCATATTTGTTCAGTTCTCAGTATATACCTTGCTCTATATTATGCCCCGTGGAATATACAAAAAAATTGGTTTTCAAAGAGCAACATGTTTGCTACATAATTTTTTTTCTATTTTATGGAAAAAAATTCTGTTGTCCATACATACACAAGAGAAGCTTTCCCAAATGAATAAATGATTAATTTCAAAAAGCCTTTATTTTGTTTTCTTTTGACATTATCTGCCTATTTGGAGCTAAGAGAATGCCAGTGATGAAATGGTGAGAAATGTTGTGTATTGTGCAATTAGAAAACAGGAATTTTTTTTGTTGTTTGTTTGTTTGTTTGAGATGGAGTTTCCCTCTTGTTGCCGAGGCTGGAGTACAATGGCGTGATCTCAGCTCACCCCAACCTCCACCTCCCAGGTTCAAGCGATTCTCCTGCCTCAGCCTCCCGAGTAGCTGGGATTACACGCATGCGCCACCTTGCCCAGCTAATTTTGTAATTTTAGTAGAGACGCGTTATCTCCAGGTTGTTCAGGCTGGTCTCAAATTCCCGACCACAGGTGATCCATCCACCTAGGCCTCCCAAAATGCTGGGATTACAAGCGTGAGCCACCGCACCTGGCTCAAGAAGTTTTAAAAAACAAAAATCTAGGACCTCATCTACCCCTCAATCATGGCAAAACCAGTTATTTCAAAACCCAAATTTTAATATGGTTTACCAAGCCTGAACATAAAATAAAAGAACACAAACTAAATGTTACCAATACAGGTTAACAATGCACATCCATACAATTTAGGGCAAATCCAAAATCAACTTGACGTTAAATATGTTAGCCTATTCTTGACGTTAAATATGTCAAGCTCTTCTCTCTTGGTTTGTTTTGACCTAAATTTCTAACCTGATATTCTTATTCAAATGTGTCATGAGGGCAGCCAAATGGCCTGATTTTTCCAGGACAGCAGTAAAAACTGTTCTGCTTTGTCATGGATTCTTTGAAATAAGTTGTTCTTGCAGTGAATACAAATGTAAGCTTCCTGTCTCAGTGAACTAAGCAACAGAATGGGAGTTTTAAAAGTCACAGATCCAAATCCCTCTCTCCAGTACTGAGTCACCATGTAGCCTTTGTGGCCTTGAGTTCCTGGTTTTCACTATTGAAAATGGGAATTATAAAATCCAGAGAGTATTTTATGTTTTAAGGTTTAGGGGGAAGGATGTAGAAAGGTATAGGAGAAGCAGCAGGTAATTTTTTGAGGACTGGTGAATAGACACACTGTAAAATACCTCACAAATAATGAGCTTTCCCCTCCCACCAGTGGGGAGAAAATTGCCCACCAGTGGGAGGTAGGAGGAAGATAGAAAAAGAAAAAGAAAAGAGAACTTTTCTGGTCACAGAGGTACTATTTAGTGCACTGGAGCATAATTTATTAAGTGGAACTTTGGCTGAAAAGAGCTAATTCACCTACCAAACTGAGCAGATTTACATTCTTCCCATCACAAGGACAAAACTCCACATAGTTAGTTATTTATCTTTTGGGAAGTAACTGGATAAGATACGGGCAATGGAGTAAATCAGCAGAATGAAAACTATTCCCCAAATGCCAAAAACCACAGGCTCCTGGGAAATATACTAAAATATTATTGTTAATTGTATATCTACAAAAATTATTGTAAATGCGTTCATATTAATCACTACTGCAGAAATGCTCCATTTTCTTACTTTTTATACCATTCTGTTTCTTGGAAAAATATAAGATAATTTTGAAAGCAATCAAAAGAGCCAGATTAGTTCATTTTAATTAAATCTTACAGAAACTGCCTTGTTATCTGTGTGAACTTTGGTTACTAACTTTCTCAAGGTGAGAAAAGATGTATTCAGGTCTCTGTATTACTGTAATGTACTTTGTACTCTACAGGCAGAAACAAATAAATTCCATCATTAAGACTGTATGAAGAAAGCTGAACAGTAGTGGTTTATGTTTTCATAATGAGTTCCTTGTATTGAATGTGGAACTTCTGTTACATTTTCATGGAGTCTGCGTAGAATCTACACATAATTAAATGCCTGTTTTCTGCTCTCTGATGCATCATCTTTAGGCAGAAACCTGCATTTGTGTTTCTCATGTCCAGCTATTACTTGAATCTAATTTCTGTCATATTTTATTTTTTAATGTGAAACTTCTTCTATCAGTGTTATAACTGATATATGGTAGGGCAAGACAATTATGTAGAAGCCAGAGTACAATGCTAATGTGTATGTTTGAGAGAGGCTAATAGGACTCTTAAGCTCTAGACCTCATAAAAGTGCCAGAAAGGCCGGGCACGGTGGCTCAAGCCTGTAATCCCAGCACTTTGGGAGGCCGAGGCGGGCGGATCACAAGGTCAGGAGATCGAGACCATCCTGGCTAACACGGTGAAACCCTGTCTCTACTAAAAATACAAAAAATTAGCTGGGCGTGGTGGCGGGCGCCTGTAGTCCCAGCTACTCGGGAGGCTGAGGCAGGAGAATGGCGTGAACCCAGGAGGTGGAGCTTGCAGTAAGCTGAGATCTCGCCACCCACTGCACTCCAGCCTGGGTGACACAGCGAGACTCCGTCTTGAAAAAAAAGTGCCGGAAAATGCTGTTGAAGTTGGTCTAAAGTTTTTCTGAAGCATACAGGCAGAATAATGTTCCCCTCACCATCCAAAAATATCCATATTCTGTGAACATATTAGCCTGCATTGCAAAAGGAACTTTACAGATGTTATAGCGTATCTTCAAGTGGGAACATTATCCTGGATTATCTGGGTGCCTCAGTGTAGTCACAGGAATCCTTGTAAGAGGGAGGCAAGAGGTTCAGAATCAGAGAAGGAAATGTGATGAGGGAAGCAAAACTCAGAGTAATGAGGCCACAAGCCAAGGCATGTAAGCAGCATCTAGATGCCACAAATGATAAGAAACTCATTCTTATAGAGCCTCCAGAAATAATGTAGCCCTGCAATACTTTGATTTTAACCCAATGAAGCTGATTTTGGACTTCTCACATCCAGGACTGTGTGATAATACATTTCTGGTATTTTGAACAACTAAATTTGTGGTGATTTGTTAACAGGAAACTAATACACAGTTATTAATCTGACTTTTCAATTTTAAATACAAAACTCTGAGGTTTGAATTAGAACAGAGTGATTCAGACACAGCCTTAAGCTTATGCCTTTTCTAATAACAGAGCTAGAATATAAATAATACAAGCCCATTGCCCTTAAGTAACTAATGCCAGTGGAGATAAATGACTTGCTTAAGGTAGTACAGCTAGTTAGTGATAGAGATGAGATGAATTGGGCTACACAAGGCTCTGAGACCACTGATATTTAATTTCTACTGTGCTGCCTTTGTTTCATGGTATAAAAACATTTGCATACAAAAGTCATGTTTAAGAAGAGTTTTCGGCCGGGCGCGGTGGCTCACGCCTGTAATCCCAGCACTTTGGGAGGCCGAGGCGGGTGGATCACGAGGTCAGGAGATCGAGACCATCCCGGCTAAAACGGTGAAACCCCGTCTCTACTAAAAATACAAAAAATTAGCTGGGCGTAGTGGCGGGCGCCTGTAGTCCCAGCTACTCGGGAGGCTGAGGCAGGAGAATGGCGTGAACCCGGGAGGCGGAGCTTGCAGTGAGCCGAGATCCCGCCACTGCACTCCAGCCTGGGCGACAGAGCGAGACTCCGTCTCAAAAAAAAAAAAAAAAAGAAGAGTTTTCAAGTGTAATAAGAAATGGGGTAAAAGTGGGTGTGCGGATGAAGGGATAGAGAAAGGGAAGAGTTACTTCACGACAAGAATTTATGTATGTCCTGCTAAGTTACAGACTAGGCGATCTGTAGTGAATCAATGAGACATGGCCCTTGCTCATGGTGCCTGTTGGGAAGACAAACATAAACAAATGTAATTATAATTAATTAATAGAATACCTTAAAGGAGCAAAGTTCTGTAAAGACTTTATCATGTGCAAGGACTTTTCCTCTTAATCTGTATTGTCTTTGAATAAGATGATGATCAAAAAGAATTTTATTCTATTAAAAGAACATCATATGATTTTGAGCTGTTACTCTTATTCTGCAAAGATATAATAATCGCCTTTTATTATGGGGAAGAATGTATACATGTATTTTTCAATGTCTTTGGAAACATACTTGTGTATATTTTAGAAGCCCAGGTTTGTGGATGACACTTCACTGCGATGCCATCAGTTTCTATGGAGACACTAACTATTGTGCAGTTAGGAGGAAAAAAAGACTCCTCCGCTTCCCTGTAGCTTTAAACTGTTTTTACTCATCTTTCTATTCCACACATTCAGAAATAAAATTAAAATGGTTTTCTTTTTGAGCAATATTACTTGAATGCCAATAGTATTATCTTTTATTTCACAAAGACTATAAAACATTTATGAATTAAATATAGTCCAACAGAAAATGAGATCTTCCCTAGCCATCCCATGCTAATGGCAAAGATAGTGTTTCCTCTGTGTGGTTTATAAATCTAGAATTTTTGTTGGTATTATGTTACTAGAGTTTTTTTTTTTTTTAAACTTATACATTAAACACTACCAATAACTTCAACCTTGGTCTTTCACACAGCTGTGGTGTAGAGATAACTTCCATTTATATTAACCGAAGTTACATTTGCATGCTAGCAGGAAAGTACCCTTTATAGAACCAAATTAGTACAAAGCTATGTGAAAGAACAAATCTTTTCTACTTAAAAGAGGCATGGCAATTCAGTTTAATAAAGAAATTCTACATCAGTGTTTGTTTCCTAGATCCTGATGGGTTCATTTTGTCTTCTTTTGCATCATTAATTTTAAATAATTTTTAAAAATTGGTAATCAACAGATAATGCTGCCTGATTTGAACTTCCTTTTTACACTGGCTTTATTTACTGCTGGGAACTTTTTATTTATTTTAACTTCTTCTTAAAATAAGAATCTCTGTTTTACTAACGTTTGTGTTTTTAAGTCCTATAAATGCTGGATTACATAAGTATCAGTAAATATTACAGTTGGCAAAAGCTTAAAATTGCTTCCAAAAATAATTTTAAGAAACAAAAAATAATTAAAATGTCACTCCTGAATTCATACATTCAAGTGTATTTTAATATCAAAGTTAAATGTTAAGTGTTAACCGTGAATCCATGGAGATAGTGTCATACTTTGCAGTCTAAGTACTTTTAAGTAGCACAAGGTCTTTCAACATAATTAGCACAGAATATTGAACCACGCCAGAAATATGGGATTCGTCATTAAATTTAGAGGCTTCTTTATCTCTCTGAGTCTAATCATGTGTGCAGAAGACTAATTGTTAATGGCATGGTCTTTATTGCTCATAGCTTTCTTTTATTTTAAATGGAATGGTCTGCTTTGTGAGAAATAATTAGGTTTTATAGGCCTACCTGCATGGAGCCTTTTGTTGAATGTCTTATGGTTTTGCCAATTCAGATCCTGAGAGCAATTAGAGGCTGTGGCGGAACTGTTCCTTAAATCACACACATATTGTGTTATTGCCTGCCTTTTATTTTTTTTACCTGCAGTAGCAGATGCAGAAGCTTCAGTTACTTGCAAGTACACAGACTAATTGTTAGCCAGTGCAAAAACTACTTGGTTTGGGAGGCATAAACTGGGAAGACAAAGTTGTTATAAGTGTGGCACATAGAAGTGTGTCCTAATGTCTGACACTGTCCCCAAAATAATTATGTTCTCAATTATAGAACAAGTCTGTAACGATTCTCTTAAGTGACATGGTAGTTTCGTTGTTTAAAATGATGGTCAAAATTGGTGGCCAAGCTGTAGTCTTTCAGTATGTATGGATTTTTTTTCAACCAGAATAATTTATTTGCTTCCCACAGTCAGTTGGGAATTATTGTTGCTCAGTGAGGTAAATAATAGAGACACTTTTCAAAAGTGCTCATAACAGTTATAAAAATCAATGTTTCATTTCTGAAAGAGTTCAATTGGTATGATTAGTCAGAGACCCAACTGGTGAGATCTGATAGAAGTATTGTCTAAAATGTGGCAAGTTTCAATATCATTTTGAGAGAACTGCATATTATAGTAGAAAAAATTGGCTGGATTATTTTGGTCACTCTGCCTACTTGCCTTCTTCATGACACAGAAAAGCTCAGTGAGATTATTCTTAATCAGTTAATGATGATAAAAATGATTGTCATTTATATGTTAGTACACTTTCATAAATTGCATTCCCTTGGAGCTGTTTGTCAAATTGTGGTTAGGGGTTGGCGTTCACTTTTCCAACCTTCTCACATGAAGTTACAGTAAATCCTATTTGTCTACTGTTCTGTTTGACATAAATTTAACAGTGTTTTATCCTCTCTGTGTCATCAACATGTTAGCCAGGTACCATTTTCTGAGGCAACTATACTCCTGCTACCATGTAATCAATAACACAGTACTTTCAATCTTGACAATTTTCTTTAGTGGAAAATTACTTTGCATAGGCTTTTTGCCATTCCAGTTGATAAGCCATCTTCATTCAGATCTACAATGTCAAATATTATCACTCCCAAAAAGGCACTGACAGCCTTAAACATATGCATGTACAAATCAATATTTTTTTCAACTGATCTCCTTTGGAAACATTTTTTTTTTAACTGAAATACTAGAAGGTAGATGAATTTGTGACCTACATCCTGTGGCAAACCTGAAGATATGTTTGAAAAAAATGTCATATGAACTTGCAGGATCCACAGAGAAATTTACTTATGGGTAGTACATCATTTTTGATATAAAGAAATAGGTCATTGTAAAACATTTTCATAGGAACCAATGGTACTGAGATGTTTATTTTCTGAGTTTCTGTCTTTATTTTGCTAAATTCCTCCTCTAAATAAGGGAGGGCCAAGAAAACACCTTTTTGTTACCTGGCAGATTGCCTTCTGGGTAATAGATGTTAGACAGGTAAAAATACACATTGCTGCTTTGAAACACACCTGAGATTTTTGAAATCCTAAGAAGCGTTTACAGTTGTGTAAGAAATTGGCTAATTAAAATGTTGTTGA